>NW_016107312.1:0-156965 GCF_000001405.40 Homo sapiens
GAATTCCATTCTAGCACTTGTGAGCATGTGTCTTTGCACCAGTCATGTCTTCTATTTTTTTTTTTTTTGAGATAGAGTCTCACTGTGTTCCAGCCTCTGGAGTAGCTGGGACTACAGGCACACACCACATACCCAGGTAATTTTTTTCATATTTTTAGTAGAAACGGGGTTTTGCCATGTTGGCCAGGCTGGTCTTGAACTCCCAACCTCAGATGACCTGCCTGCTTCGGCCTCCCAAAGGGCTGGGATGGCAGGCCTCTGAGGCTGGAGTACAGTGGTGTGATCTCAGCTCACTGCAACCTCCGCCTCCCGAGTTCAAGCAATCCTCTTGCTTCAGCCCCGAGTAGCTGTAATTACTGGCGTGCGCCACCACACCCAACTCATGTTTGTATTTTTAGTAGAGATGGGGTTTCACTGTGTTGGCCAGGCTGGTCTTGAACTCCTGACCTCAAGTGATCCAGCCGCCCCTGCCTTCCAAAGTGCTGGGATTACATGCAGGAGCCACCCGGCCCAGCCCGTCTTCTATTTAAGCCTCATTTTCCTCATTAAGTCATCATTACCTCTTTCTCCTCACACATAGTGAAATTCAAAGTCTCACTATTTTTTTTTCTTTTTCTTTTTCTTTTTCTTTTTTTTTGAGACGGAGTCTCACTCTGTCGCCCAGGCTGGAGTGCAGTGGCGCGATCTCAGCTCACTGCAAGCTCCGTCTCCCGGGTTCACGCCATTCTCCTGCCTCAGCCTCTTGCGTAGCTGGGACTACAGGCGCCCGCCACCACGCCCGGATAATTTTTGTATTTTTTTTTAGTAGAGACAGGGTTTCACCGTGTTAGCCAGGATGGTCTTGATCTCCTGACCTCATGATCCACCTGCCTCGGTTTCCCAAAGTGCTGGGATTACAGGCGTGAGCCACCGCGCCGGGCCTCACTCCTGTAATCCTAGCCGTGCGCCCCAGGCCCATCCCACCGTCATCTTCCAAACATCATTTTCAACCCTCCTGGCCTCATAGTTATTATTGTATTACCCCAGTTATCTTCCTGCCCCAGGGCACAGGCAGATGCCATTTCATTCTCTCCAGAGCCTCCTTTCTCCTGACAGCCACATGATTAACTCAAGTCTGAACGCATTTGCTCAGATGCCTTCTTTCTCTGTGAGGTCCATCTGGACAAACCTATTTAATATTGCTAGCTGCCATTTCAATCACTGTAAGTCTGTTCTACTTTGTCTTTTCCTTCCATAGCATCATTCCCTCCTGTGTGCTATCCTGACGTTGACCGATGGTGTGTCTCCTCCTGCTAGAATCTAAGTGCTGCACAGTCAAGATATCTGCCTGGCTGACTGTTACAGTGTAGTTCACTGTGTATACTATGCACTTGATGAATATATATATATAATAGTTTTGTTTTTGTTTTTCTGTGAGATGGAGTCTCGCTGTGTCGTGCAGTGGAGTGGAATGCAGTGGCGCGATCTCAGCTCACTGCAACCTCTGCATCCCAGGTTCAACAATTCTCCTGCCTCAGCCTCCTGAGTAGCTGGGATTACAGGCGAGCACCACCAGGCCCGGCTAATTTTTGTATTTTTAGTAGAGATGGGGTTTCACCATGTTGGTCAGGCTGGTCTCGAATTCCTGACCTTGTGATCCAACCACCTTGGCCTCCCGAAGTGTTGGGATTACAGGTGTGAGCCATGATGCCCAGCCTAAGTTTTGTATTTTTAGTAGAGACAGGGTTTCGCCATGTTGGCCAGGCTGGTCTCAAACTCCTGACCTCAAATGATGCACCATCTCGGCCTCCCAAAGTGCTGGGATTACAGGCGTGAGCCACCACGCCTGGCCTCGATGAATATTTTGAATGAATGCCACGTTTTTAGTGTCACTGGGAGGCTCTGATCGCTCGTCTGAGCTTAGAAGGACCAGTTACTCACCAGGAAAGGTGGGGTCTTCAGGTGCAAGGCTGGTGTTCTCAATGTCGCCTGGAAAAGGAGATAAAGAAAAAAAAGTAAGGGTTTTTGGTTTCCTCCGGTCTTGCCATTCTTTTTTTTTTTTTTTTTTTTTTGAGATGGAGTCTTGCTCTGTCGCCCAGGTTGCAGTGCGGTGGTATGATCTCGGTTCACTACAACCCCCGCCTCCCGGGTTCAAGCGATTCTCCTGCCTCAGCCTCCTGAGTAGCTGGGACTACAGGTGTCCGCCACTGCGTCTGGCTAATTTCTGTATTTTTAGTAGAGACGGGGTTTCACCGTCTTGGCCAGGCTGGTCTCGAACTCCTGACCTTGTGATCCACCCGCCTTACCATTCCTTTCTCTGTTCCCTCCTCCTTCCTGCTTCTGGTGTTCTTCCTCACATGACCAACCAGGCACCCAGGAAGTGGACGTCCCTTGGACACCCTCCCCATCACTCTCTGGGGATCCCTCAGGGCTCCAGGTAGCACATGGCGGCGAAGGGTGTGGGGAATTGAGCATTTCCTCACCTGTGACCAGGAGCTTCACTGGCTCACTGGGGAAAGACCAGGCATGGTTGTTATAGGAGCCAAAACATCGGTATGTCCCTCTGTGGGCTGTGGTCACAGGGCCCAGGGGGAACTCCGCCTGGACCTTCCCGTATCCGCGCTGTACGTGGCTGGATCTTCCCTCCTTGAGCAGTAAGAACATGCTTGTTGCAGTGTCTAGACGGCAGTAGAAGGTCACCTTCTCTCCCGAGATCACTTCGGGTCCAGGATGAACCGAGAGGGTGGGTGTGTCATACATTTCTATGAGAGAAGGTGGGGCCACCACACCAGAAACTCAGTGATGAGCAGCCAGCTATTTTTTTTTTTCTTTCTTTAGAGATGGAGTCTCTCTCTGTCGCCCAGGCTGGAGTGCAGTGACACGATCTTGGCTCACTGCAACCTCCGCCTCCCGGGTTCAAGCGTTTCTCCTGCCTCACCCTCCCAAGTAGCTGGGACTACAGGGGCCTGCCACCATGCCTGGCAGCCAGCTTTTTTTTTTTTTTTTAATTATTATTTTGGTCAAATACACACAATAGAAGATTTACCGTCTAAAACCATTTTTAAAAATGATACAGGGTCTTGCTCTGTTTCCCAGGCTGGAGCGCCGTGGCACTATCTTTGCTTACTGAAGCCTCGACCTCCTGGGTCAGGAGTTTGAGACCAGCCTGGTCAACATGGTGAAACCCCGTCTCTACTAAAAATGCAAAAATTAGCCGGGTGTGGTGGCACATGCCTGTAATCTCAACTACTTGGGAGGCTGAGGCAGGAGAATTGAGGCTGAGGCAGAGGTTGCAGTGAGCTGAGATTGTACCACTGCACTGCAGCGAGACTGTCTCAAAAAAAAAAAAAAAAGCCCCGGCCAGCCGCCCCGTCCGGGAGGTTGGGGGGCAGCCCCCGCCCGGCCACTGCCCCGTCTGGGAGGTGGGGGGGCGCCTCTGCCCGGCCGCCCCGTCTGGGAAGTGAGGAGCCCCTCTGCCCGGCCGCCACCCCGTCTGGGAGGTGTACCCAACAGCTCATTGAGAACGGGCCATGATGACGATGGCGGTTTTGTCGAATAGAAAAAGGGGAAATGTGGGGAAAAGAAAGAGAGATCAGATTGTTACTGTGTCTGTGTAGAAAGAAGTAGACATAGGAGACTCCATTTTGTTCTGTACTAAGACAAATTCTTCTGCTTTGGGATGCTGTTAATCTATGACCTTACCCCCAACCCCGTGCTCTCTGAAACATGTGCTGTGTCCACTCAGGGTTAAATGGATTAAGGGCGGTGCAAGATGTGCTTTGTTAAACAGATGCTTGAAGGCAGCATGCTCCTTAAGAGTCATCACCACTCCCTAATCTCAAGTACCCAGGGACACAAACACTGCGGAAGGCCGCAGGGACCTCTGCCTAGGAAAGCCAGAGACCTTTGTTCACATGTTTATCTGCTGACCTTCTCTCCACTATTGTCCTATGACCCTGCCAAATCCCCCTCTCCGAGAAACACCCAAGAATGATCAATAAATACTAAAAAAATTAAAAAAAAAAGAATAAATGAGTAGCTGTGTTCCCCTGCCAGAACCTCCAAACAAGGTCCAAAGACCCTGAGCAAATGAAAAGGCACAGACAAAAAATATATATATTTCAACACAAGTATATGACACAGAATATAGAAATAACTTTTCCTAATCAATCAAAATATAAGCAACCCAATTTAAAAATAGGCAAAAGATTTAAATAGACATTTCACAAAAGAAGATATTTGAATGGACATGAAATACTGTTGTGAGCTGCATAATGACATTTTGGCCAACAATGTACCACATATATGATGGTGGTCCCATAAGATTATAATGAAACTGAAAAATTCCTATTGCCTGATGACATCATAGCCTTCCTAGCACAAAGTATTGCTCATGTGTTTTTGGTGTTGCTGGTATAAACAAACCTAATTGTATAGCACATACAATTATGTATGTATATGTAACTATGTATAATACTTGATAATAATAATAAACAACCATATTGTTAAAAAAAAAAAAAAGCTAATTTTTTTTTTTTTTTAGAAAACCACCACCTGGCTGGGTGTGATGGCTCACACCTGTAATCCCAGCACTTTGGGAGGGTGAGGCGGGCGGATCATCTGAGGTCAGGAGTTCGACACCACCCTGGCCAACATGGTGAAACCCCATCTCTACTAAAAATACAAAATGTGGCGTAGTGGTGGGTGCCTGTGATCCCAGCTACTTGGGAAGCTGAGGCTGGAGAATCACTTGAACCCAGGAGGTGGAGGTTGCAGTGACTGGAGATTGCACCACTGCACTCCAGCCTGGGTGACAAGAGCGAAACTCCGTCTCAAAACAGATAAAAAAAAAAAAAACCCACCACCTGTGATGGGTGAGGGAAGCAAAGTGTAAGCCACTGCGCCTGGCCCACAGGCATTGTTTTTGAGGACATTCCTCAGTCATACCCCTGCATACAAATATCTATCTCAGAATCTGTGTCATGGAGAAACTGACTGAGGACACATCTGCTCCTAGGACGTAGAGACACGGTCTGCAGACAACCCCTTGTAGGCAAGGATTGTGATGGGGATCACCCCTCCTTCCAGCCTCCTACCGAGACAAGCAGTGTCTGAGTGGGGCTTGGAAGAGTTCATAGATGATGCTGCATCCCGGATGCAGACTGAGATCACTCTCCAGTTAGAGAACCGGACAGTTACCTGTTACCACCAGATCCAGCAAGTTGCTGGGCTCTGACCAGAGCTCCCCAACCCGATAGATGCAGCTGTATTGCCCTGCCATGCGGGAGTTCATGTCCGGGATGTAGAATTGGACTTTGTTAATCCGCTCAGGGGGTTTTGGTCTGTCCACGGCAAAAAGGCTTCCTTCAAAGTGCAGCTGGTATTCAACAGCCCCATAATTTCCCTGGCAACAGATGGTCACTTGCTTTTCCTTTGGAACCATGAAATGGGGCTCGGCCCAGATGAACGGTTTTGGGAGAGTCTCTGGAAGGGAATCAGAGGCTGGAGTTCCAGCGGAGCCCCCTCCCCCCAACCTTAGGCTCCACCCAGCTGCTGGCCCCAAGCTCTCCTGGGAAGCCAGCACCCTGTCCCCTCACCCCAGCCGTGCTTGGGTGGAAGGAGCTTGGCCTGAATCCGGAAGAGTGACCCTGGGCTTTGAAGGAAGGACTCACGCTGCTGGGCGCTGATCCTCTGACTCAGACACAGCCCTGGAAGACGGGAGTAATGAGACCTGTTGCCTCCCAGGCACACCGTGATCCCATTCCCCTTCCACGCCAGAACTCACCGACGCAGAGCAGGGCAGGGAGTGTGGAAGACATCGCTCAGATTCTGCCGGCCTAGTGCTGAGCAGTGGGGACTGAGCCGGGCGGGCCAGGGAGATAGATACACAGGAAGTGGTGGGTGAGCACCAGCGCCCATCACCAGAGCGCTTTCACGTTGACTGCTTTCATCAGAACGTTCACAACTCCCCTCCGCCTCTGACCATGAGCTTACAGAAAGGCCGTGGTCCCTCTGACACATCTGTGGTCTAGCCAGCAACTCTGACAATTGTCTGCTCAGCCCAAAATGCATTTCTGGGTCAACTTCTCAATTCTGCAATGTGGAGGTCGTACCCAGAGCTGACTGTGGGAAGTTGTGCCCAATCATGCCCAGAGGAAACCCCCTGAGAATCGTATAAAAACATAGGGAGTTTCACAGTGAGATACTGGAACAGGAATTAAAAGAAATTACAGAATGTGTAAACAAAAACTCAGTTGTATTTAAGAAAACCCAGTTCCCCCCGAGGAAGAGAAAGAGGTGGAGTCCTTTAAACATGAACTGCCTGTTTTTCTGTCTGTGGCTAGTGAGCCTTATCTCTCCCTTTCCCAGGCATTGTGAAGACCCTGTTTCTCTTGCCGTGCGGCTGCAAGGTCACTAGACAGGATAACCTCAAGTCGTAAAACATATTTTTCTTGAAAAGTAAGGAATAATGTGATGCATGTCTCAATTGAATAACTGCCTTTGTTTCTTGCTTCTGTAATATGCTTCCCCCTGCACAGATCTCCCCCAACCCCACAAAATGCTTAAAAGGTAACCGGACTCTCTGTTCGAGCCTCAGTCTTTTTGGATGTTAATCTGACTGGGGCCGGTGCACCTAAATAATAATAATAATAATAAATCCTCCTCAACCCCTCGGTCTCTCTGATTCCTAAATTATCCCTCAACAATACCATCTCACACCAGTCAGAATGGCCATTACTGAAAAGCCAGAAATTAACAGATGCTGGTGAGATTGTGGAGCAAAGGGGACACTTATACACTGTTGGTGGGTGTAAATTAGTTCAGCCACTGTGGAAAGCAGTTTGGTTTGGAGATATTTCAGAGAACTACAAACAGAGTTACCATTCAGCCCAGCAATCCCATCGCTGGGTATATAGCCAAAGGAAAATAAATCATTCTACCAAAAAGACACATGCACTTGTATGTTCATTGCAGCAGGATTCACAATAGTGAAGACATGGAATCCACCCAGGTCCCATCAGAGGTGGACTGGATAAAGACAATGTGATATGTATACACCACAGAACGCTATACAGCCTTGAAAAATCACAAGATTATGTCCTTTGCAGCAACATGGATGCAGCTAGAGGCCATTATCCTAAGCGAGTTAACACAGAAACAGAAAACCAAATACTGGCCAGACACGGTGGCTCAGGCCTGTCATCCCAGCACTTTGGGAGGCTGAGGCAGGTGGATCACCTTAGGTCGGGAGTTCGAGACCAGCCTGACCAACATGCAGAAACCCTGTCTCTACTAAAAATTCAAAATTAGCCGGGTGTGGTGGCACATGCCTGTAGTCCCAACTACTCGGGAGGCTGAGGCAGGAGAATTGCTTGAACCTGGAAGGTGAAGGTTGCAGTGAGCCGAGATGGTGCCATTGTACTCCAGCCTGGGCAACAAGAGTGAAACTCCATCTCAAAAAAAAAAAAAAAAAAGAAAAGAAAACCAAATACCACATGTTCTCACTTATAAGTGAGAGCGCTAAACATTGGGTAAGGAGGGGAGCAAGGCTTGAAAATCTACCTATTTGGTGACTAGATCATTAATGCAAGCCTCAGCATCATGCAATATACTCATAAAAAACCTGCACATGTATCTGCTGAATCTAAAAAGATAAAAATAGGGGTTTTGACGTTGGCTTCTCTGTGTACAGTATACATATGCTTGGATAAGTTAATTGGTTTCATCAGAATGGAATGATAACACTATCTTCTTCAAAGATAGTGTTATAATGTTTCAATAAAATAAAAGTGAAAAGAAAAGCTTTTCATTTAAAGAACTTAATAAGAAAAGAAACATTTCTTTTCTTTTTCTTTTTCTTTCTTTTTTTTTTTTTTTTTTGAGACAGAGTCTTGCTCTGTTGCCCAGGCTGTGGTGCAGTGGTGTGATCTCAGCTCACTGCAACCTCTGCCTTGTGGGTTCAAGCAATTCTCCTGCCTCAGCCACCTGAGTAGCTGGGACTACAGACACCCAACACCACGCCCAGCTCATTTTTGTACTTTTAGTAGAGACCGGTTTTTACCACGTTGGCCAGGATGGTCTCCAACTCCTCACCTCAAGTGAATCTTCCTGCCTCGGCCTCTCAAAGTGCTGGGATTACAGGTGTGAGCCACCACACCCAGCCAAGAAACATTTCTTTTAAGTAAGTAACTAACTCTCCACTTAATAAAAAAAAATTCTATGCAGAAGTTGTTAAGATCTACAGTAAGAAAAAAGAAATTCATGCATTTTATATATACACACATATATACATATATACCTTTTATATATATACACATATATACATTTATACATATATGTATACATATATACATATATGTGTATATATACTGCATAGTACCGTACATGTATATATACACATGCATATATACACATACATGTATATGCGTATATATACACATATATGTATATATACACACATGCATACATGCATATATATGTATACACACATGTATGCGTGTATACATACATATATGTATATACATACATGTATCCGTGTATACATACATATATGTATATACATACATGTATGCGTGTATACATACATGTATGCGTGTATACATACATATACATATATGTATATACATACATGTATATATACATGTATGTATATATGCATATATGTATATACATACATGTATATATACATGTATGTATACATATACGTATATGTGTATATATGTATATACATATATATATACATGTAAGGTACTATGTAGTTTTCAGCATCCACTGGGGCCTTGGAATATATCCTGGTGGATACATGTGACTACTGTACAAGACTAGTTGTATCTTCTTGAGGCAAACAAATGTGCTAATTCTTTTTTTTTTCTCTTTAAGACGGAATCTCACTCTGTCCCTCAAGCTGGGGTGCAGTGGTGCAATCTCAGCTCACTGCAACCTTCACCTCCTGGGTTCAAGCAATTCTCCTGTTCTAGCCTCCCAAGTAGCTGGGATTACAGGCGTGTGCCACCACACTCGACTAATTTTTGTATTTTTAGTAGAGACAGGGTTTCCCCATGTTGGCCAGGCTAGTCTCGAACTCTTGACCTCAAGTGATCAGCCCACTTTAGCCTCCCAAAGTGCTGGGATTACAGGCGTGAGCCACCACACCCAGCCCGCCTCCTTCTTATTTACTGAAGATTCAGTACTCGGTGCTGGCGTTTCCCCTTACACAGCTGTCATAACTCTGGGTGTTTTCTTTATCCTTCCCCCTACGGAGCGCTTGGATGCCCTCTATGGAGGAGACTTATGTAGGCTGGATCCTCAGACCTCAGCCACCCTCTCAGCCATAACATAGTTACCTTCACCAAAGAAATATAAGAATATTGTCTTTTATTATTTTGAGCTTTTAATTTTGACATAATTCCAGACTTGCAAAAATAGTTTAAAGAATTTCTGGCCAGGTGCAGTGGCTCACACCTGTAATCCCAGCACTTTGGGAGGCCGAGGTGGGTGGATTGCTTGAGACGAGCCTGGGGGAAAAAAAAATGCAAAAATTAGCCAGGTGTGGTGCTGTGCGCCTATAGTCCCAGCTACTTGGGAGGCTGAGGTGAGAGGGTCATCTGAGCCCAGGGAGGTAGAAGCTGCAGTGAGCCATGATCGTGCCACTGCACTCTAGCCTGGGTGACAGAGTGTTACCCTGTCTATAAAAAAAAAAAAAATCTGTAATTTCTTCATCCAGATTTCCCCAAAGTTAGCATTTTACCACATTTGCTTCATCATTCAGCCTCTCTCCCTCTCCCTCTCTCCCCGAAGAAAGTGTGTCTAATTTGCATATGATGCCCTAAACCTCTAATCACTTCAGGTTATATTTCCCAAAACCAAGGACATTCTGTTATTAATGTTCAAGGTCAAGAAATAGCACTGATATGACACTATTGTCTGATCTATCCACTTTATTCAAATTTCACCACTTGTTTTACCAGTGACATATATTTGGTTTAGGATTTAATCCAAGATTACACAATTTATTTAATTGTCATGTCTCTCTTATTTGGAGATGGAATCTTGCTCTGTAGCCCAGGCTGGAGTGCAATGGTGTGATCTCAGCTCACTGCAACCTCCGCCTCCTGGGTTCAAGCAATTCTCTTGCCTCAGCTTCCTGAGTAGCTGGGATTAGAGGCACCCACAACCACGCCCAGCTAATTTTTGTATTTCTAGTAGAGATGGGGTTTCGTCAAGTTGGCCAGGCTGGTTTTGAACTCCTGAACTCAACTGATCCACCTGCCTCAGCCTCCCAAAGTGCTGGGATTAGAGGCATGAGCCACCACGCCCAGCCTCCTTTAAAAAATAAAACTATAGACTTTATTCTGATTTCACCAGTTTTTCCACTAGCATCCTTTCTTCGCTCCAGGAGCTCCAGTGATCCGCCTGCCTCAGCCTCCCACCTGCCTCGGCCTCCCAAGGTATTGGGATTACAGGTGTGAGCCATCTGGATCTATTTAATTCAGCCTTAAGCCCACACCAGCATTCCTGGGACTGTCCCCCCTCTACAGACTCTAAGCCATGTTTGAGATGATGAATTTCAAGTCGTGATTCAATCACTTAAGTGGTAAGTGACACAGAGGATATTACTAATCTTTTTTTTTTTTTTTTTTTTTTTTGAGATGGACTCTCGCTCTGTCACCCATGCTGGAGTGCAGTGGCGCAATCTCGGCTCTCTGCAAGCTCTGCCTCCGGGGTTTATGCCATTCTCTTGCCTCAGCCTCCTGAGTGGCGCAATCTCGACTCACTGCAAGCTCTGCCTCCCGAGTTTATGCCATTCTCCTGCCTCAGCCTCCTGAGTAGCTAGGACTACAGGTGCCCACCACCACGTCCGGGTAATCTTTTTTTTTTTTTTTCAAAGTAGAGATGGGGTTTCACCATGTTAGCCAGGATGGTCTCCATCTCCTGACCTCGTGATCCGCCCTTCTCGGCCTCCCAAAGTGCTGGGATTACAGGCGTGAGCCACCGCACCCGGCCTTTTTTTGGTATTTAAAAATATAACTTTATTGAGATATAATTTACATGCCATACAATTACCCATTAAAAGTGCATAATTCAATGGTTTAAATTTTGTGGTATTCACGGAGTTGGTGCAACCGTCAACACAGTCTAATTTTAGAATGTTGTCATCACTGCCCTTCAGAACCCCATGCCGACCAGCTGCCCATCACCACGATCCCCTCACTCTCCCGGCCCTAGGCAACCACTCATCTTCTGTCTCTAAACACCAGAAGGTACTTTTCAAAAATTGTGGCAAAATACACATAACATACATTTTAATATTTAAGAAGTTTTCTAAGGCCAGGTGCAGTGGGTCATGCCTGTAATCCCAGCACTTTGGGAGGCCGAGGTGTGCGGATCACCAGGTCAGGTGATCCAGACTGTCAGGCCTCTGAGCCCAAGCTAAGCCATCATATCCCCCTGTGGCCTGTATGTACACATCCAGATGGCCGGTTCCTGCCTTAACTGATGACATTCCACCACGAAAGAAATGAAAATGGCCTGTTCTTGCCTTAAGTGATGACATTATCTTATGAAATTCCTTCTCCTGGCTCATCCCGGCTCAAAAGCTCCCCTACTGAGCACCTTGTGAACCCCACTCCTGCCCGCCAGAGAACAACCCCCTTTTGACTGTAATTTTCCTTTACCTACCCAAATCCTATAAAACGGCCGCACTCCTATCTCCCTTTGCTGACTCTCTTTCTGGACTCAGCCCGCCTGCACCCAGGTGAAATAAACAGCCTTGTTGCTCACACAAATCCTGTTTGGTGGTCTCTTCACACGGACGTGAGTGAAATTTGGTGCCATAACTCGAATCAGGGGATCTTCCTTAGGAGATCAATCCCCTGTCCTCCTGCTCTTTGCTCCATGAGAAAGATCCACCTACGACCTCTCGTCCTCAGACCAACCAGCCCAAGGAACATCTCACCAATTTTAAATCCAGTAAGCAGCCTCTTTTTACTCTCTTCTCCAACCTCTCTCACTATCCCTCAACCACTTTCTCCTTTCCACTCTTCAATCTCTCCCTTCTCTTAATTTCAGTTCCTTTCCTTTTCTGGTAGAGACAGGAGACGCGCTTTATTCGTGGACCCAAAACTCCAGCGCCGGTCATGGACTCGGGAAGGCAGCCTTCCCTTGGTGTTTAATCACGCGGGGACACCTCTCTGATTATTCACCCACGTTTCAGAGGTGTCTGACCACATGGGGATGCCTGCCTTGGTCCTTCACCCTTAGTGGCAAGTACTGCTTTTCTGGGGGGGCAAGAACCCCCAACTCCTTCTCTGTGTCTCTACCCCTTCTCTGCTTTTCTGGGGGGGCAAGAACCCCCCAACCCCTTCTCCTTCACCCTTAGTGGCAAGTACCGCTTTTCTAGGGGGCAAGAATCCCCCGATCCCTTATTTCTGTGCCCTGACGTCTTATCTCTGCACCCCGATCCCTTATTTCCACACCCCGACCTCTTGTCTCTGCACCCCAATCCCTTACTTCTGTGCCCTGACCCCTTTCCCGCTTTTCTGGAAGGTAAGAACCCCTGAACCCCTTCCCTCCATGTCTCTACTCTCTCTTTTCTCTGTGCTTGCCTCCTTCAGTATGGGCAACCTTCCACCCTCCATTCCTCCTTCTTCTCCCTTAGCCTGTGTTCTTAAAAACCTAAAACCTCTTCAACTCACACCTGACCTAAAACCTAAATGCCTTATTTTCTTCTGCAATGCTGCTTGACCCCAATACAAACTTGACAGTGGTTCCAAATAGCCAGAAAACGGCACTTTCAATTTTTCCATCCTACAAGATCTAAATAATTCTTGTTGTAAAATGGGCAAACGGTCTGAGGTGCCTGACATCCAGGCATTCTTTTACACATCGGTCCCTCCCTAGTCTCTATGCCCAGTGCAACTCGTCCCAAATCTTCCTTCTTTCCCTCCCGCCTGTCCCGTCAGTCCCAACCCCAAGCATCGCTGAGTCTTTCTAATCTTCCTTTTCTACAGACCCATCTGACATCTCCCCTCCTCGCCAGGCCGAGCTGGGTCCCAATTCTTCCTCAGCCTCCGCTCCTCCACCCTATAATCCTTTTATCACCTCCCCTCCTCACACCCGGTCCAGCTTACAGTTCCATTCCATGACTAGCCCTCCCCCAACTGCCCAGCAATTTCCTCTTAAAAAGGTGGCTGAAGCTAAAGGCATAGTCAAGGTTAATGCTCCTTTTTCTTTATCTGACCTCTCCCAAATCAGATAGTGTTTAGGCTCTTTTTCATCAAATTTAAAAACACAGCCCAGTTCATGGCTCATTTGGCAGCAACCCTGAGACGCTTTACAGCCCTAGACCCTAAGTCAAAAGGCCGTCTTATTCTCAATATACATTTTATTACCAAATCTGCTCCCAACATTAAATAAAGCTCCAAAAATTAAATTCTGTCCCTCAAACCCCACAACAAGACTTAATTAACCTCGCCTTCAAGGTGTACAGTAATAGAGTAGAGGCAGCCAAATAGCAACATATTTCTGAGTTGCAATTCCTTGCCTCCACTCCAGTATCCAGATGAGACAAACCCCAGCCACATCTCCAGCACACGAGAACTCCAAACGCCTGAACCGCAGCTGCCAGGGGTTCCTCCAGAACCTCTTCCCCCAGGAGCTTGCTACAAGTACTGGAAATCTGGCCACTGGGCCAAGGAATGTCCACAGCCTGGGATTCCTCCTAAGCCGCATCCCATCTGTGCGGGACCCCACTGAAAATCGGACTGTTCAACTCACCTGGCAGCCACTCCCAGAGCAGCTAGAACTCTGGCCCAAGGCTCTCTGACTCCTTCCCAGATCTTCTCGGCTTAGCAGCTGAAGACTGACACTGCCCGATCCCGATCGCCTCGGAAGCCTACAGGACCATCACAGACAGTCTAGGTAACTCTCACAGTGGAAGGTAAGCCCGTCCCCTTCTTAATCAATATGGAGGCTACCCACTCCACATTACCTTCTTTTCAAGGGCCTGTTTCTCTTGCCTCCATAACTGTTGTAGGTATTGACAGCTAGGCTTCTAAACCTCTTAAAACTCCCCAACTCTGGTGCCAACTTAGACAATACTCTTTCAAGCACTCCTTTTTAGTTATCCCCACCTGCCCAGTTCCCTTATTAGGCTGAGACACTTTAACTAAATTATCTGCTTCCCTGACTATTCCTGGACTACAGCTATATCTCATTGCTGCCCTTCTTCCCAATCCAAAGCCTCCTTTGTGTCCTCCTCTTGTATCCCCCCACCTTAACCCACAAGTATAGGATACCTCTACTCCCTCCTTGGTGACCAATCATGCACCCCTTACCATCTCATTAAAACCTAATCAACCTTACCCCGCTCAATGCCAATATCCCATCCCACAGCATGCTTTAAAAGGATTAAAGCCTGCTACAGCATGGCCTTTTAAAGCCTATAAACTCCCCTTACAATTCTCCCATTTTACCTGTCCTAAAACCAGACAAGGCTTACACATTAGTTCAGGATCTGCACCTTATCAACCAAATTGTTTTGCCTATCCACCCCGTAGTGCCAAACCCATATACTCTCCTATCCTCAATACCTGCCTCTACAACCCATTATTCTGTTCTGGATCTCAAACATGCTTTCTTTACTGTTCCTTTGCACCCTTCATCCCAGCCTCTCTTCGCTTTCACTTGGACTGACCCTGACACCGATCAAGCTCAGCAAATTACCTAGGCTGTACTGCTGCAAGGCTTCACAGACAGCCCCCATTACTTCAGTCAAGCCCAAATTTCTTCCTCCTCTGTTACCTATCTCGGCATAATTCTCATAAAAACACACGTGCTCTCCCTGCCAATCGTGTCCTAGTGATCTCTCAAACCCCAGCACCTTCTACAAAACAACAACTCCTTTCCTTCCTAGGCATGGTTAGCGTGGTCAGAACTCTTACACAAGAGCCAGGACCGCACCCTGTAGCCTTTCTGTCCAAACAACTTGATCTTACTGTTTTAGCCTAGCCCTCACGTCTGTGAGCAGCGGCTGCCGCTGCTTTAATAGTTTTAGAGGCCCTCAAAATCACAAACTATGCTCAACTCACTCTCTACAGTTCTCATAACTTCCAAAAATCTATTTTCTTCCTCACACCTGACGCATATACTTTCTGCTCCCCGGCTCCTTCAGCTGTACTCACTCTTTGTTGAGTCTCCCACAATTACCATTGTTACTGGCCCATACTTCAATCCGGCCTCCCACATTATTCCGGATACCACACCTGACCCCCATGACTGTATCTCTCTGATCCACCTGACATTCACCCCATTTCCCCACATTTCCTTCTTTCCTATTCCTCACCCTAATCACATTTAGTTTATTGATGGCAGTTCCACCAGGCCTAATCGCCACTCACCAGCAAAGGCAGGCTATGCTATAGTATCTTCCACATCTATCATTGAGGCTACCGCTCTGCCCCCTCCACTACCTCTCAGCAAGCCGAATTAGTTGCCTTAACTCAAGCCCTCACTGATGCAAAAGGACTATGCATCAATATTTATACTGACTCTAAATATGCCTTTCATATTCTGCCCCACCATGCGGTCATATGGGCTGAAAGAGGTTTCCTCACTACACAAGGGTCCTCCATCTTTAATGCCTCCTTAATAAAAACTCTGCTCAAGGCCGCTTTACTCCCAGAGGAAGCTGGAGTCATTCACTGCAAAGGCCATCAAAAGTCATCAGATCCCATTGCTCTAGACAATGCCTATGCTGACAAGGTGGCTAGACAAGCAGCTAGCTTTCCAACTTCTGTCTCTCACATCTATGCTTATGCTGATAAGGTAGCTAGACAAGCAGCTAGCATGCCAATTTCTGTCCCCCACAGCCAGTTTTTCTCCTTCTCATCAGTCACTCCCACCTACTCCCCCACTGAAACTTCCACCCATCAATCTCTTCCCACACAAGGCAAATGGTTCTTAGACCAAGGAAAATACCTCCTTCCAGCCTCACAGGCCCATTCTATTCGGTCGATATTTCATAGCCTCTTCCATGTAGGTTACAAGCTGCTAGCCCATCTCTTAGAACCTCTCATTTCCTTTCCATCCTGGAAATCTATCCTCAAGGAAACCACTTCTCAGTGTTCCATCTGCTATTCTACTACCCCTCAGGGATTGCTCAGGTCCCCTCCCTTCCCTACACATCAGGCTCGGGGATTTGCCCCCGCCTAGGACTGGCAAATTGACTTTACTCACATGCCCTGAGTCAGGAAACTAAAATACCTCTTGGTCTGGGTAGACACTTTCACTGGATGGGTAGAGGCCTTTCCCACAGGGTCTGAGAAGGCCACCGAGGTCATTTCTTCCCTTCTGTCAGACATAATTCCACAGTTTGGCCTTCCCACCTCTATACAGTCTGATAGCAGACCGGCCTTTATTAGTCAAATCAGCCAAGCAGTTTTTCAGGCTCTTGGTATTCAGTGAAACCTTTATATCCCTTACAGTCCTCAGTCTTCAGGAAAAGTAGAACAGACTAATAGTCTTTTAAAAACACACCTCACCAAGCTCAGCCACCAACTTAAAAAAGACTGGACAATACTTTTACCACTTTCTTTTCTCAGAATTCAGGCCTGTCCTCAGAATGCTAAAGGGTACAGCCCATTTGAGCTCCTGTATAGACGCTCCTTTTTATTAAGCCCCAGTCTCATTCCAGACACCAGACCAACTTGGAATGTGCCCCCAAAAACTTGTCATCCCTACTATCTTCTGTCTAGTCATACTCCTATTCACCATTCTCAACTACTCACACATGCCCTGCTCTTGTTTACACTGCTGGTTTACACTGTTTTTCCAAGCCATCACAGCTGATATCTCCTGGTGCTATCCCCAAACCACCACTCTTAACTCTTGAAGTAAATAAATAATCTTTGCTGGCAAGGCTATGCTGAACCTCCTTAGGCACTCTCTAATTAGATGTCCTAGGTCCTCCCAATTCTTAGACCTTTAATACCTGTTTTTCTCCTTTCCTTATTCCATTTAGTTTTTCAATTCATACAAAACTGCATCCAGGCCATCACCAGTAATTCTAAATGAAAAATGTTTCTTCTAACAATCCCACAATATCACCCCTTACCACAAAATCTTCCTTCAGCTTAATCTCTCCCACTCTAGGTTCCCACGCCGCCCCTAATCCCGCTCGAAGCAGCCCTGAGAAACATCGCCCATTCTCTCTCCATACCACCCCCCAAAATTTTCGCCATCCCAACACTTTACCACTATTTCGTTTTATTTTTCTTATTAATATAAGAAGACAGGAATGTCAGGCCTCTGAGCCCAAGCTAAGCCATCATATCCCCTGTGACCTGCACGTACACATCCAGATGGCCGGTTCCTGCCTTAACTGATGACATTCCACCACGAAAGAAATGAAAATGGCCTGTTCCTGCCTTAACTGATGACATTATCTTGTGAAATTCCTTCTTCTGGTTCATCCTGACTCAAAAGCTCCCCTACTGAGCACCTTGTGACCCCCCACTCCTGCCCACCAAAGAACAACCCCCCTTTGACTGTAATTTTCCTTTACCTACCCAAATCCTATAAAACGGCCCCACCCCTATCCCCCTTCGCTGACTCTCTTGTCGGACTCAGCCTGCCTGCACCCAGGTGAAATAAACAGCCTTGTTGCTCACACAGAGCCTGTTTGGTGGTCTCTTCACACGGACGCGCATGAAACAGACCAGCCTAGCCAACATGGTGAAACCCCGTCTCCACGAAAATACAAGAAATTAGCCGGGCGTGGCGGTGCGCACCTGTAGTTCCAGCTACTCGGGAGGCTGAGGCAGGGGAATCACTTGAACCTGGGAGGCGGAGATTGCAGTGAGCCCAGATCACACCAGCGTAGCGACAGAGTGAAACTCTGTCTCAAAAAAAAAAAAAAAAAAAAAAGAAAAAGAAGTTTTCTAAGGCCAGGCGCAGTGGCTCATGCCTGTAATCCAAGCACTTTTGGGAGGCTGAGGCGGGCAGATCACCTGAGGCCGGGAGTTCGAGACCGGCCTGACCAACATGGTGAAACCCTGTCTCTACTAAAAATACAAAAATGAGCTGGGCATGGCGGCGGGTGCCTGTAATCCCAGCTTCTTGGGTGCGGGGGGGATCTGTTCTGCAGATCCCAGCTGTACGACAGATGAGACACGTCCTCAGACACCAATATTCAGTGAAAGAGCAGGCCAGGGGGCTGCCGGCACTAGGAGCCAAAGAGAGTGCAGCCCCTCTAAGCTGGCAACGCTTGCATTTATTTAGCACAGATTTAATTAACAAAGGCTTTGAGTCAACACACCTGTGGGTAATTAACCTGGTCACCGCCCCCCGCCACCTCCCTGGAGAGGGCCATCTTGCCCGAGAATGATCAAAGGTTGATTTTAGGACCATATGACTAAGCAAGCTATTTAGATAAAATACTCCGCATTCCTTTGTATCTGCGCCCTAAGCTGTTTGGCTCCTGAAAAGAGAATCTGGCTGCTTTCAGCCAAACTATCTGAAGCTATGCCAACCTCCCTGGCCTTCCAAGAAGGTTTGCTGCTTCCTATTCCTATAATTTCTTCTGCTACTCTGACTGATCTCCCACACTTGGGAGGTTGAGGCAGGAGAATCCCTTGAACCAGGGAGGCAGAGGTTGCAGTGAGCCGAGATCACACTACTGCACTCCAACTTGGGTGACAAGAGCGAGACTCCATCTCAGAAAAAAAAGTTAAAAAAAAATTGTAGGCCAGGCGTGGTGGCTCACGCCTGTGATCCCAGCACTTTGGGAGGCCAAGGCGGGTGGATCACCTGAGGTCCAGAGTTCGAGACCAGCCTGACCAACATGGAGAAACCCCGTCTCTTCTAAAAATATAAAATTAGCCAGGCGTGGTGGCGCATGCCTGTAATCCCAGCTGCTCTGGAGGCTGAGGCAGGAGAATGGCTTGAGCCCAGGAGGCGGAGGTTGCGGTGAGCCGAGACCGCACCATTGCACTCCAGCCTGGGCAACAAGAGTGAGACTCTGTCTCAGAAAAAAAAAAAAAAAAATTGTAGTAAAAACATAACATACAATTTACCATCTTAGCCATTGTAAGTGTACAGTATAGCAGTGTTAAATGTATTCACGGTGTTTTGAAACAGATCTCCAGAATATTTTCATCTTGTAAAACTGAAACTCTATGCCTAAAAGAGGAATCGTTCAACACATAGAAGTTTTATTTCAACCATTTTTGTTGTTGTTGTTGAGATGGAGTCTTGCTCTGTCACCAAGGCTGGAGTGCGGTGGTACGATCTTGGCTCACTGCAACCTCCGCCTCCTGGGTTCAAGCCATTCTCCTGCCTCAGCCTCCTCAGTAGCTGGTAATGCAGGTGCGTGCCACCACACCTGGCTAATTTTTGTATTTTTAGTAGAGACGGGGTTTTGCCATGTTGGCCAGGCTGGTCTCGAACTCCTGGCCTCGTGATCTGCCTGCCTTAGCCTCCCAAAGTGCTGGGATTTCAGGTGTGAGCCACTGCGCTCAGCCTGGGAAATGTATACTTCAGAGATTGTTGGATTTTCAGGGCCTTCTGTGGCTTGACGTCATCTGGAAAAGTGTGGTCATTGGGAAGATATTACTTTGATTGGTTGTCACTCATGCTTGGGTGTTTACTGAAATGAGTCTGATTGGATGACTTTTAGAAGCAAGGAGCTGCCTGACTGATGGTAACATAACAATATAAAACGTATGGAGTGGCCGGGCTTTGTGGCTCACTCCTGTAATCCCAGCACTTTGAGAGGCTGAGGCAGGCAGATCACCCTGAGGTCAGAAGTTTGTGACCAGCTTGGCCAACATGGCGAAACCCGTCTGTACTAAAAATACAAAAATTATCTGCGTGTGGTGGCAGGTGCCTATAATCCCAGCTACTGGGGAGGCTGAGGCAGGAGAATTGCTGAACCCGGGAAAGAGAGGTTGCAGGGAGCCGAGGTCACGTCACTGCTCCCCAGCCTGGGTGACAGAGCAAGACCCCGTCTCAAAAAAAAAAAAAAAAAAAAAGAGCATCTTCACAGAGATGAGTTGTCATTGATGATGGGTTAAAAATCAGTTTTGGTGGCTACTTGTTACTGTGGTTACAGGACAATAAAATACTTTTCTGAAGAGCTCAGGAACTTTATTATTCTGAAAACGCTTTTTCCAAACAAGGTCCTTCTGTCAGCAAAACGACTTATATGAGTTTAATCTTATCCATCTCTGGGAATCTAGCCCCATTGTGTCTCTGTAATCCAAGTCCTGGACCTGACGTAAAGTCCCTCAACCCCCTTCATCCAAAATTGTGGCACTTTCCCTTTATTTATTTATTTATTATTTATTTGTTTGTTTACTTTTGAGACGGAGTCTCGCTCTGTGGCCCAGGCTGGAGTGTAGTGGCGTGATCTCAGCTCATTGCAAGCCCCGCCTCCCAGGTTCACGCCATTCTCCTGCCTCAGCCCCTGGAGTAGCTGGGACTACAGGCACCTGCCACCACACCTGGTGAAAAAAATCAGAACAAACTGAAGATATGGGCCAGAACTTGTATAAAGTGTGAAAAGCAGTCAATAAAGAAAGTTAGAAATACTTTGCATTTTTTTTTTAATCACAGGACCTGAGTTAAGCCAAGAATACAGTAGAAATTTTATCAAGTAGAGATAAGCTCTCAGTAAAGGATAAAAGTGGGCCTAAGTCCCTTCAGTTTCACTGGAAGTAGGACCCTTACATTTTATAATTATATTTTCATACATAAGCTACTGGACAATGAAGTAAATAGCAATCAGTGAAAGAGCCACATATGACCAACTTAGATTTCCTTGAGTAAAGTCTGTCAAGGGTAAAGCTGTGAAAGTTTATAAGAAAAAAGAATGGGGAATTATTTGGAAGACCATTTGAGTTTTGTACACAAGAATTTAATGTTTGCACACTTGATAATATATGTGAATATCATCAAAACTAAGTGAAAAAATAAATTAATGAGGTGAAACACATGCCTGTATTCCTTGTATGAAAATCCGGTAGAAATAGGGTTTGTGAAATAAATAGGGTAATCCTCCTGTAGGATTATGACTTTCACTCTTATCAATTTGTAGATGAACACAGCAGGAGGCTGAGGTAGGAGGATTGCTTGAGACCAGGAGTTCAAGACCAGCTTAGGCAACATAGGGAGAGCCTCACTTCAACAAAAAAAAATAAAGGAGGGGGGTTATTGAATATATTTGGCATGCTTACCAACCATTTATATTTGGGGAAGACACATTTAAAAATATAAAAAGAAGGCTGGGCGCAGTGGCTCACATCTGTAATCCCAGCACTTTGGGAGGCCGAGGCGGGCAGATCACGAGGTCAGAAGTTTGAGACCAGCTTGGCCAATGTGATGAAACCCCGTCTCTACTAAAAATACTGTAAAAGTAGCTGGGCGTGATGGTGGGAGCCTGCAATCCCAGCTACTTGGGAGGCCGAGGCAGGAGAATCACTTGAACCCAGGAGGCAGAGGTTGCAGTGAGCCGAGATCGTGCCACTGCACTCCAGCCTGGGCAACAGAGTGAGACTCTGTCTCAAATAAAAATAAAAATAAAAATAAATAAAATAAATAAAAAAAGAGAAGAACAATGAAGGAAGAAATTAAACAGGATATAAAAAATCAGAAGACAGATAAGATGGAAAACCATAACTTATGTGCAGAAAGGTGGGTGCAAATCGATCAGTCCTGCATAAGAAAACACCATTTGATTGGTTTGAACATGCATCTGGCCAGGCGTGGTGGCTCATGCCTATAATCTCAGCACTTTGGGAGGCCAAGGTGGGTGGATCACCTGAGGTCAGGAGTTCGAGACCAGCCTGGCCAACACAGTGAAACCCCATCTCTACTAAAAATACAAAAATTAGCTGGGTGCAGTGGTATGTGCCTGTAATTCCAGCTACTTGGGAGGCTGAGGCACAAGAATCACTTGAACCCAAGAGGTTCAATGAGCCGAGATTGCTCCACTGCACTCCAGCCTGGGTGACAGAGCCAGACTCTGTCTCAAAAAAAAAAAAAAGTAGATTCAAGCTTCTTAGTGAGCTTTTCTCTCTTGTGTCCTTCAAGTAGCTTTGTCGGACTCCACAGTCCTGGCTCCTCTCTGCCTTCACCTCCAGGTGTTTACTTGCAGACACTTGGTGTTCGTGCAAAGGTCAATCCTGGCTGACACATCTGTTGGCTCCAGCTCGGTTCAGCCACATCTGCCGAGGCTTCCTTGTTCAGTGCCGTATGGCTGTGCCAATTTTCAACCAGTATGGCCAAGAGAGCCACGAGGACCAGTCCTGCCACGGCCATGCGGATCAAGTTCTGCGTCGTGTAATCTTGGTGGATGGAGTCTGGAGACACAATTCAAGGAGATGAATGGTTGGTGGTTGTGTTCCATTCCATCCCAACCCCAGAGCCCTGAAACGGGAGCTCATTTTCCTTTTCGCTTGCCAAAATGGGACTCCCTCAAGCATCCCCTCAATGAGCTCATGCTTCGCCAGCACCACACTGATCAGTCAGCAAGACTGTGTTCACGGGCAAGGAACTGTGCTTCCCAGGGAAGTGCTATAAACTGGGAAGGAGGTGATTATGGGCAGGTTGTGTGTGTTTTTTTTTTTTTTTTTTTTTGAGATGGAGTCTCACTCTGTTGCCCAGGCTGGAGTGCAGTGGCGTGATCTCGGCTCACTGCAACCTCCGCCTCCCTGGTCAAGTGATTCTCCTGCCTCAGCCTCCCAAGTAGCTGGGATTACAGGCGCCCACCACCACCACGCCTGGTTAATTTTTGTATTTTTAGTGGAGATGGGGTTTCACTATGTTGGCCAGGCTGGTCTCGAACTCCCGACCTCAGGTGATCCACCTGCCTCAGCCTCCCAATGTGCTCAGATTACAGGCGTGAGCCATCGTGCCCAACCATGTTTTTTTTTTTTTTCTTGAGGTGGAGTCTCGTTCTGTCACCCAGGCTGGAGTGCAATGGCGTGATCTTGGCTCACTGCAACAGCTGCCTCCTGGGTTCAAGTGATTCTCCTGCCTCAGCCTCCTGAGTAGCTGGGACGACAGGCTCACGCCACCACGCCCGGCCAGGCAGGTTGTGTTTTCTTTTCATTCTCTCCTCACTTGGTGAATTCACTAAATACCTAATCACATCTCTACAACACCAGAACAAGGTGGAATCCTAATAAGAATGTGTGCAGCCTGGCCAGGCGCGGTGGCTCACGCCTGTAATCCCAGCACTTTGGGAGGCCGAGGCAGGTGGATCACCTGAGGTCGGGAGTTCGAGACCAGCCTGGCCAACATGGTGAAACCCTGTCTGTGTGGTCCCAGCTACTCAGGAGGCTGAGGCAGGAGAATTGCTTGAACCTGGGAGGCGAAGGTTGCAGTGAGTCGAGATCGTGCCACTGCACTCCAGCCTTGGCGAAAGAGCAAGACTCTATCCCGGAAAATAAAATGAAATAAATAAAATGAAACAAACTGAGTTAGCCCTTCTGTTCTCCACAGACTAAGTTTTCAATGAACCCTGTCTGGAGAACTCTAGCGAGGAAGTGAAAGCGGAAAGTGTGGTGGGGAAGCCTTTCTCTCTCCACTGTCCTGGAGTGAGAGCCTTTGCCTCTCTTCACTTCACTCTCAGTGCACGTCTTCATATTCCTGCCCGGTGGCAAGGCCCTGGACAGCCAACCCAGACACAGGGCTGGACTGGGCGGTACCTACCTGTGACCACAAGCTCCAAGGCATTACTGGGGAAGGACCACAGGTAGGGGCTCCTGTTGTACCAACCGTAGCACCTGTAGATCCCTGAGACATTGAGGTCCACAGGACCCAAAGAGAAGTTGGCCGGGTGTTCCCCACTTTGGTGCTGTGGCAGAGAAAGTTCTCCCTCCTTGGCCAGTGAAAATCTATCAAATGGGATGTGTGCTGAGCTGCACGTGAGGGAAATATTCTCTCCTGGCATCAACACCAGACCCCGATCTGCAGAGAGGAAGGGTTTGCCATACAAGCCTAAGAGAGAAAAGAGTGAGCTATTAGAAAGACCTTTTCTCCTTTATTCTTTTCTTCTTCTTATTATTGTTATTATTATATATTTTTTTGAGATGGAGTTTCGCTCTTATTGCCCAAGCTGGAGTGCAGTGGCGTGATCTCAGCTCACTGCAACCTCCGTCTCCCGGGTTCAAGCAATTCTCCTGCCTCAGCCTCCCGAGAAACTGGGATTACAGGTGCGTACCACCACGCCCAGCTAATTTTTGTATTTTTAGTAGAGACGGGGTCTCTCCATGTTGGTCAGGCTGGTCTCGAACTCCTGACCTCAGGTGATTTGCCCACCTTGGCCTCCCAAAGTGCTGGGATTACAGGCATGAGCAACTGTGCCCAGCCTATTATTGTTTTTTGAGATGGAGTCTCACTCTGTCACTGAGGCTGCAGTGCAGTGGCACGATCTCAGCTCACTGCAACCTCCACCTCCGAGGTTCAAGTGAGTCTCCTGCCTCAGCCTCCCGAGTAGCTGGGATTACAGGCACCCGCCACCACGCCCAGCTAATTTTTGTATTTTTAGTAAAGATGAGGTTTCTCCATGTTGGTCAGGCTGGTCTTGAATCCCTGACCTCAGGTGATCCACCTGCCTCAGCCTCCCAAAGTGCTGGGATTACAGGCGTGAACCACAGTGCCCAGCCTCTTTTTTCTTTTTTAGAATTTATTTATTTTAGAGAGGGTCTCACTCTGTCGCCCAGGCTGAGGGCAGTGGCATAATCACGGCTCACTGCAGCCTCGACCTCCCAGGCTCAGGTGATCCTACCATCTCAGCCTCTCAAGTAACTGAGACTACAGGTGGGTGCCACCATGCCCAGCTAATTTTTTGATTTTTTGTACAGATGGGGTCTTACTATGTTGCCCAGGCTGGTCTCCTGGGCTTAAGTGATCTGCCCATCTCGGCTTCTCAAAGTGCTGGGATTACAGGCGTGAGCCACGGCGCCCAGCCTCCCAAAGTGCTGGGATTACAGGCACGAGCCACGGTGTCTGGCCACAGTTACTACTTCAGCCAGGCTTTCAACAACAGCCAGCTCAACATCCACAGTCATGTTCCCATGGACAGTTTAAACCTTTGCTATGAGGAGATGAAATGGCACTTTGCTTCTGTGGTCTTGCCTGCAATGACCCATAACTCAGTCTAGTCATGAGCAAAACATCGGACAATTTCCAGTAGTGGGAGTACCCTTGAAAATAATGGACCACTACCCTCAAAACTGACAAGGTCATGGAAAACCAGCAACATCTGAGAAGCTGTGACAGCCAAGACAAACCTAAAGATACATGACACCTGCCGGGCACGGTGGCTCACGCCTGGAATCCCAGCACTTTGGGAGGCCAGGTGCGGTGGCTCATGCCTGTAATCCCAGCATTTTCGGGGGCCGGGCGTGGTGGCTCACGCCAGTAATCCCAGCACTTTGGGAGGCCAGGCGGGCGGATCACGAGGTCAGAAGATTGAGACCATCCTGGCTAACACAGTGAAACCCTATCTCTACTAAAAATACAAAAAATTAGCCAGGCGTGGTGGCGGGCGCCTGTAGTCCCAGCTACTCGGGAGGCTGAGGCAGGAGAATGGCGTGAACCCGGGAGGTTGGAGCTTGCAGTGAGCCGAGATTGTGCCACTGCACTCCAGCCTGGGCAACACAGCGGGACTCCATCTCAAAAAAAAAAAAAAAAAAAAAAATAAAGATACATGACACCTGAATGCAATGTGAAATCTTTTTGTGTGTGTGTGTGTGAGATGGAGTCTCGCCCTGTCGCCCAGCCTGGAGTGCAGTGGTGTGATCTTGGCTCACTGCAACCTCTGCCTCCTGGGTTCAAGCGATTCTCCTGCCTCAGCCTCCCAAGTAGCTGGGATTACAGGCGTGTGCCACCAGGCCTGGCCAATTTTTTCCATTTTTAGTAGAGACGAGGTTTCACTGTGTTGGCCAGGCTGGTCTCGAACTCCTGACCTCAGGTGATCCACCCACCTCAGCCACCCAAAGTGTTGGGATTACAGGCGTGAGCCACCGCGCCCAGCGATTGTTGCATTTTCAGTAGAGACGGGGAATTCACCATGTTGGCCAGGCTGGTCTCGAACTCCTGACCTTGGGTGATCCACCCGCCTCGGCTTCCCTAAGTGTTGGGATTACAGGCGTGAGCCACCACTCCCAGCCGCAATGTGAAATCTTGAATGGGATCCTGGAACAGAGAAAGACTATCAGGTAAAAACTAAGAAAATGTAAATAAACTGTAGACTGTAGCTGGGAATGTGTCGATATTTGTTCATTAATGGTAAGAAATGTGCCATACTAATGTAAGATGTTAACTCTGGGGGAAGTGGGGTGCCAGATGGCTGAGAACTCTCTGAAGCAATCATCAATTTTTTTTTGTTTGTAAATCTAAAACTTCTTGAAAAATACTCTATTAAAAATAAGAAAAAAATCACACCAGGGCTGTGGACCCTGGATGTTTCCTTACCTGTCACTACCAGCTCCAGGGTGTCACTGTACCGGAACCTGTAGTGCCCTATCCTATATTGGCACTGATAGCGCCCTGCCTTGTTTGCGTCCATGTGGTCAATGACGAACTCAGGATCAGTCTCATTCCAAAACTTCAGTCTTCTGCCTATCTCTCGGTACGTGGAGTTTTTTATGATCATCAGCTGGGTCAGGTAAGCTTCACGAATGGCCTGGCACTGGATTTTCACAGATCCATCCAAGGGAATCACAGGACTCGATTTGGCAGATATGAAAGGCATGGGAAAGTCCCCTGGAAGAAAAGAAAGCCCAGACTGAGGTGGCTTGCCATGGGGAAGCCATTCCTTTCCTTCTCTGTGGGAGAAGTAAAAATACATTAGGGTGTGAAGAACCTACCATTCTTTATTTAAAAAAAAATTTAGGCCGGGTGCGGTAGCTCACGCCTGTATTCCCAGCACTTTGGGAGGCCGAGGCGGGTGGATCACAAGGTGACGATATCAAGACCATCCTGGCTAACACGGTGAAACCCCGTGTCTACTGAAAATACAAAAAATTAGCAGGACGTGGTGGCGGGCGCGTGTAGTCCCAGCTACTCGGGAGATTGGGGCAGGAGAATGGCGTGAACCTGGGAGGCAGAGCTTGCAGTGAGCCGAGATCACACCACTGCACTCCAGCCTGGGCAACAGAGTGAGACTTCGTCTCAACAACAACAACAAAAAAATTAAAAAAAGAGAAAAATTTAAATAATTTGTGATGCTGAGGTTTGGAGTACGATTGATCCTGTCACCCAGGTACTGAGCATAGTACCCAATAGGCAGTTTTTCAACCCCCTTTCTTCCCCCCCATCTAGTAGTCTCCAGTGTCTATGGTTGCCATCTTTATTTTTTATTGTTATTATTTTTCGAGACAGAGTCTTGTTTTGTCGCCCAGGCTGCAGTGCAGTGGTGCAATCTCAGCTCCTCCGCCTCCCGGGTTCAAGCAATTCTGCTGCCTCAGCCTTCCGAGTAGCTGGGATTACAGGTGCCCACCACCATGCCTGGATAATTTTTGTATTTTTAGTAGAAACGGGGTTTCACCATGTTGGCCAGGCTGGTCTTGAACTCCTGACTTCAAGTGATCCACCTGCCTCGGCCTCCCAAAGTGCTGGGATTACAAGCGTGAGCCACCGCACCTGGCTGCAACTGGGGTTTTTGCAGAGGCAACACTGAAGCCAGGGGGACCTCCGCAGGCATTGACCCCAGAGCAGTCGGGTGCCGTTACCACAGCCCCCGCAGAGGCCACGGGCATGGTGCGTGGGAGCAGTGAGATGGCTCCACCTGCCGTTACTCCACAAGGCTCAAGGCCAGTTTCCAGCATAGTGGCCCAGCTTCTGCCTGAACTCTGCCCGGGGTCGTGGCTGCATGCTTCCCTGGAAAGCACCCAGATGGTGAAGTGGGTGACTCCACCCACCCCTGCCACTTGCAGCCAGACGGGCCAGGCTTGCTGGGTCTTCCAGCGCTGCAGACCCCCTTCTGCCTGAACTCTGTGGGGTGTGCAGCTCTGTGTTTTTCTTTTCTTTTCTTTTTTTGTTGAGATGAAGTCTCACTCTGTTGCCCAGGCTGGAGTGCAGTGGTGTGATCTTGGCTCACTGCAAGCTCCGCCTCCCGGGTTCACACCATTCTTCTGCCTCAGCCTCCCGAGTAGCTGGGACTACAGGCGCCCGCCACCACGCCTGGCTAATTTTTTTTTGTATTTTTAGTAGAGACGGGGTTTCACCATGTTATCCAGGATGGTCTCAGTCTCCTGACTTCGCAATCTGCCCATCTCGGCCTCCTAAAGTACTGGGATTACACGTGTGAGCCACCATGCCCAGTAGCTCTGTGTTCCCCTGGGAAGCACTGAGATGGCAGATCATGTGGCTCCAATCACCCTTGCTGAGAAGGACTCACCACGTTAGGTGGCGACCAAGCCGTGAGGAGCCCTCATTCTCAGAACGTTCAGAGGGGTGAAACACCTGATTTCATCAGCCTGCAGAGGTGCGGGGTGGTCCTCCCTCCATAGGGCTGGCCGGGGAAGGATACAGCCTGTCTGCCCACCATGCCCTGCCTGAGGGAGCCCCGTGGGCAGAACAATCCTAACAAAGGAAACAGTGGGTGCAGAGCCAGTGACTGTAGGAGGCTCCTCCAAGGCCCAAGAATGGACCAGGCGAGGGAGTCACCCCTCCTCACAACCACAGAGCACTACTGCCGACTTTGTCAAAATACAAGAGTTAGGGGGCCAAGGCAGGCAGATTGCTTGAGCCCAGGAGTTTGAGACCAGCCTGGTAAACATGGTGAAACCCCATCTCTACAAAAAAAAAAAAAAAATTACAAAAATTTTCTCTTTATGGTGCTGCGTGCTTGTAGTCCCAGCTACTCAGGAGGCTGAGGCAGGAGGATCACTTAGCCTGATAGGTAGAGGCTGCAGTGAGCCGAGATTGTGCCACTGTGCTCCAGCCTGGGCGACAGAACAAGACCCTGTGTCAAAAAACGAAACAAAAAACGAAACAAAACTACAAAAGAGCCTTGTGGCTAAGATCCTGTATGCTGGCCAACCCTTTTAAGTGCCACCTACTGGATCACACTTCAAAATACAACACTGAAAAATTTTGCCAGTATACAATGAAGGGAAAAATTCAGCCACAAATAAAGATCCTGTGCAGAGTCCTGGCATCTGAAAACACCCAGAAATGAAGCCAAGCGACTGTACTCAACCGACATCACAGTTAAAGGAACACCAGCCCTCACACAAGAGAAAGAATCAACACCAAGGCCGGGCGCGGTGGCTCACACCTGTAATCCCAGCACTTTGGGAGGCTGAAGTGGGCAGATCACCGGAGGTCAAGAGTTTGAGACCAGCCTGACCAACGTGACAAAACCCGGGCTCTACTAAACATACAAAAATTAGCCGGGCGTGGTGGCACACACCTGTAATCCCAGCTACTCAGGAGGCTGAGACAGGAGAATCGCTTGAACCCGGGAGGTGAAGGTTGCAGCAGTGAGCTGAGATCGTGCCACTGCACTCCAGCCTGGGCGACAGAGTAAGACTCTGCCACAAAAAAGAAAAAAAAAAGAAAAAAAAAAAAGAATCAACACAAGAACTCTGGCAACTCGATAGTTCCCCAGAAATCTGGTTCTTAGCTACATTGAGATGAATGAAACGAGGGTTATAGAATTCAGAATCTGGATGGCCAGGACGCTCTTCGAAATTGAGGAGAAATTTGAAACACAATCCAAGGGGTCCATGGTGGGGACACACTGGCTTTTTGAGTTCCCAGAATTCTTTTTCATGTGTGGGGGCCCGGTCATTATGCCACAGCCATCAGACAGAGAGGAGTCCAGTCTCTCTTCCCCGTGAGCTCCCACCCCCACTTTACCAGGCAGAGCCCCCAGCTCGGGAGTGCAGAGCAGCTGCCCCGCCCTCAGCACACTCACTGGTGGTGGCTCGTGTTTCCCTGGGGAGTGGCTCCCAGAGGCAACTGACAGCCCCTCTGCCACTGCCATGGCAAGGGTTCTGCCTCTGCTGCCCGTGATCTGGGGAAGAAGCAAGGAGCCTGGGGCCTTCATTCATGCTTCAATTTATTTATTTATTTATTTATTTATTTATTTATTTATTTATTTATTTATTTGAGACGGAGTCTCGCTCTGTCGCCCACGCTGCAGTGCAGTGGCCCGATCTCGGCTCACTGCAAGCTGCGCCTCCCGGGTTCACACCATTCTCCTGCCTCAGCCTCATCCTCCTCCCGAGTAGCTGGGACTACAGGCGCCCGCCACCACGCCCGGCTCATTTTTTGTGTTTTCAGTAGAGACGGGGTTTCACCAGATTAGCCAGGATGGTCTCGATCTCCCGACCTCGTGATCCGCCCGCCTCGGCCTCCCAAAGTGCTGGGATTCCGGGCGTGAGTCCACCGCGCCCGGCCTTCATTCATGCTTCCAGCACACCGCAGTCGCCATACGGAGAGGAGCTCAGTCTCCTCTCCCTGTGAGCCCTCAACCCCCTGCTCTTCAACAAGCCCCAGCTTGATTCCGCGGCACAACAGCCCCACCCTCTGGCGGAGCGTTCCCAGCAGCTGTGAGTCTGCGTTTCTCTGTGGCGGAGCTCCCAGAGGCAACGGAAGGTCACTCTGCCGCTGCCACTGCGGTGGTACTGGCCTTGCTGCCCTCAGACTGGGGAAGGAGCAAAGACTCTGAGTGCTTCAACCACACCTCCGGCAAACTGCCCTAAGGAGAAGAGGCCAGTCTGTCACCCCTGTGACCCACCTGTCCCCCCTGCTCATCACTAGGCAGGGCCCCTAGCTTGGACCCACAGTGCAGTCGCCTCACTCTTGGCTCATCGCACTGATAGTGGCTCCACATCTCTCTGGGGTGGAGTTCCAAGGGACAAGTGAAAGGCCGTCTGCCACAACCGCTGCTAAGGTCCCTTCCCCTGCTGCCCCCAAGCCACGGAGGGAACATAAAGTCTGAGCTCACCCCAGAGCTGTGATGTGCAGCCTGGGAGTGCCGAGCCCAGATCTGCAGCCAGCACTTGGGTGGGAGAGGAGCCCGCACTTTCAGAGCGTGAGAGGGAGCACAGCGGCAATCATGAGGAATGACCTACTGGCCGTTGTGCTGAAGCATCATTTACCGGATTGCAGCCCAAACTTCAACACCAAAAATGCTCGCTAATATACCTCCCTGTGAAACCAAGGACAAGAATTTAGCTATAAATAAAGACCCTGTGCGAAGCCCCAGCCCTCTGAAACCATCCAGAAAAGAAGTCTACTGACTGTGCTCAAATTACATCACGGTTAAAAGAAAAAAGAAAAAAATTCAAATTGCAGCACACTCAAAGGAACATTAGCCCACATGGATGAGAAAGAACTGAGCAAGAACTCCATCAACTCAAAAAGCAACAGTGTCTTCCTTCCTCCAAATTACCACACAAGCTTCCCAGCAAGGGCTCTTTACCTGGCTGAAATGACAGAAATAGAATTCAGAATATGGATAGAAATTAAGGTCATCAAGATTCAGGAGAAAGTTGAAACCCAATGCAAGGAACCTAAAGATTACAATAAAATGACAGAGGGGCTAATCTATGAGATGGTCATTTTGAAAGAACCAAACGGATCTGATGGAGCTGAAAAACACACTACGAGATTTCATAATGCGATCACAAGTATTAATGGCAAAATAAAGCAAAATAAGGAAAGAATCTCAGAGCATGAATACTGGCTCTCTGAACTAATTCAGTCAGACAAAAATGAAGAAAAAGAATAAAAATTAATGAACAAAACCTCTAAGAAATATGGGATCATGAAAAGAGACCAAATAGCCCATTGGCATCCCCGAAAGAGATGGGGAGAAAGCAAGGAACATGGAAAACATATTTCAGTGTATTGTTCATGAAAACTTCCCCAACGTCACTAGAGAGGCCAAGAATCAAATGCAGGAAACAGAGAACCCCTGCAAAATACTACACAAGAAGAGCATCCCCAAGACACAAAATCATCAGATTCTTCAAGGTAGAAATGAAAGAAAGAAATGTCGGCCGGGCGCGGTGGCTCACGCCTGTAATCCCAGCACTTTGGGAGACCAAGGCGGGCGGATCACGAGGTCAGGAGATTGAGACCATCCTGGCTAACATGGTGAAACCCCATCTCTACTAAAAAAATATAAAAAATTAGCTGGGCGTGGTGGTGGGCACCTGTAGTCCCAGCTACTGGGGAGGCTGAGGCAGGAGAATGGCGTGAATCCGGGAGGCGGAGCTTGCAGTGAGCCGAGATCACGCCATTGCACTCCAGCCTGGCAGCCTGGGCAACAGAGCAAGACTCAGTCTCAAAAAAAAAAAAAAAAATGTGAAAAGGCAGCAAAAAAGAAGGGGCAGGTCACCTACAAAGGGAATGCCATCGAGCTAACAGCAGACCTTTCAGCAGAAACTCTACAATCCAGAAGAGATTGGGGGCCTATATTTAATGTTCTTATGAAAAGAATTTCCAACCAAGAATCTCATTCCCAGCCAAACTAAGTTTCATAAGTGAAGGAGAAATAAGATCCTTTACAGACAAGCAAATGCTGAGGGAATTTATTACCATCAGGCCTGCCTTACAAGAGGTCCTAAGAGGAACGCTAAATATGGAAAGAAAAGACCATCACCAGCCAATAGAAAACACACTTACGTACATAAACCAGTGACACTATAAAACAACCACACAAACAAGTCTGCATAATAACCAAACCAGCTAACAACATGATGACAGGAAAAAATCTGCACATGTAAATGCTAACTTTGAATGTAAATGGACTAATTGTCCTAATTAAAATGCAGAGAGTGGCAAGTTGGATAAAGAAGCAAGAGGCCAGGTGCAGTGGCTCACGCCTGTAACCCTGGCACTTTGGGAGGCTGAGGTGGGTGGATCATTTGAGGTCAGGAGTTCGACATTAGCCTGGCCAATGTGATGAAATCCCATCTCTAATAAAAAAAAAAAATAGCTGGGCGTGGTGGTACACACCTGTAATCCCAGCTATTTGGGAGGCTGAGGCAGGAGAATCATTTGAACCTGGGAGGCAGAAGTTGCAGTGAGTCAAGATCATACCACTGCACTCCAGCCTGGGTGACAGAGTGAGACTCCATCTCAAAAAAAAAAAAAAAAAAAAAAGCAAGACTCAACATTATGCTGCCTATAAGAAACCCATCTCATATGCAATGACATCCATAGGCTCAAAGTAAAGAAATGGAGAAAAATCTACCAAGCAAATGGAAAGCCAAAAAAAAAAAAAAATGCAGGAGCTGCTATTAAAATTTCAGACAAAACAGACTTTATACCAACAAAGATCAAAAAAGGCAAAGAAGGGCATTAAATCATGGTAAAGGGTTCAATTCAACATGAAGACCATAGCAGGACAGTGGCCACGGAAGTCGGAATCTGCTAAGGAGTGTGTAATAGCCCAACTGCTGAATCAAAAAGAAAAAGAAAAAAAAAATTAAAAAAAGAGCATGAAGACCTAACTATCCTAAATATATATGCACCTAACATGGAAGCACCCGGATTCATAAAGCGTGTTCTGAGAGACCAACGAAGAGACTTAGACAACCACACAATAATAGGGGGAGACTTTAACATCCCGCCGACAGTATTAGATCATTGAGGCAAACAGAGATATTCAGGACCTGAACTCAGCAGTGGATCAAATGGACCTGACAGACATCTACAGAACTCTCCACCCCCAAAACAACAGAATCTACATTGTTTTCATTGCCTCATGGCACATACTCTAAAGTCAATCATACAATCAGACATACAGCAATCCTTAGCAGGCTGGGCACGGTGGCTCACACCTGTAATCCCAGCACTTTGGGAAGCCAAGGCTGGCGGATCATGAGGTCAGGAGATCGAGACCATCCTGGCTAACGCAGTGAAACCCCGTCTTTACTAAAAATACAAAAAAAATTAGCCGGGCGGGGTGGCGGGCACCTGTAGTCTCAGCTACTCAGGAGGCTGAGGCAGGAGAATGGTGTGAACCTGGGAGGCGGAGCTTGCAGTGAGCCTAGATTGCGCCACTGCACTCCAGCCTGGGCGACAGAGCAAGACTCCATTTCAAAAAAAAAAAAAACAATCCTTAGCAAATCCAGAAAAGCGAAATCAGAGCACAGTGGAATAAAAATAGGAATAAATACTAAGAAAACCACTCAAAACTGTACAATGCATGGAAATTAAGCAGTCTGTTCTGGAATTTTTGGGTAAATATAGCAGAATCTCTGGGACACAGCTAAGGCAGTGTTAAGGGGGAAGTTTATAGCACTAAACTCCCACTTCAAAAAGCTAGAAAAAGTTCAAATTAACAACCTAACATCATAACAAGAGGAACTAAGAGAACCAAGAGGAAATCAACCCCAAAGCTCATAGGAAACAAGAAATAACCAAAATCAGAGCTGAGCTGAAGGAGATTGAGACACGAAAAAGCATTCAGAAGATCAGCAAATCGAGGAGTAGAATTTTTGAAAAAATTAGTAAGACAGATGACTAGTTAGACTAATAAAGAAGAAAAGAGAGATGATCCGGATAAACACAATTAGAAACAACAAAGGGTATATTACCACTCACCCCACAGAAATACAATCATCAGAGAATATTATGAACACCTCTATGCACACAAACTAGAAAATCCAGAATAAATGGAGAAATTCCTGGACACATACACCCTCCTGAGATCAAACCAAGAATAAATTGAATACATGAACAGACCAATAATGAGCTCCAAAATTGAATCAGTAATAAAAATCCTACAGACCAGAAAAAGCCCAGTACCAGACAGACTCACAGCTGAATCCCATCTGATATATAAAGAAGAGCTGGTACTATACCTACTGAAACGTTCCAAAAATATTCAGGAGGAGGAATGCCTCCCCAGCTCATTCTATGAGACCAGCATCATCTTGATGCAAAAACATGGCAGAGACACAACAAAACCAGAAAACTTCAGGACAATATCCTTGTTGAACATAAATGCAAAAATCCTCAACAAAATACTAGCAAACTATCCAGCAGCACATCAGAAAGCTAATCCACCACCATCAGGTAGGCTTTATTTCTGGGATGCAAGGTTGATTCGATATAGGAGTCTCGCTCTGTTGCCCAGGCTGGAGTGTAGTGGCGTGAACTTGGCTCACTGCAAGCTCCGCCTCCTGGATTCACGCCATTCTCCTGCCTGAGCCTCCCGAGCAGCTGGGACTACAGGTGCCCACCACCACGCCTGGCTAATTTTTTTGTGTTTTTTAGTATAGACGAGGTTTCACCGTGTTAGCCAGGATGGTGTCGATCTCCTGACCTCATGATCCACAAGCCTTGGCTTCCCAAAGTGCTGGGATTACAGGCATGAGCCACAGTGCCCGGCCAATATACACAAATCTTAAATATGATTCATCACATAAATAGAACAACCCTCCCCACACACATAATCCTCTCAATAGAGCTTTTGATAAAATTCAACATCCCTTTATGCTAAAAAACCTCGACAAACTAGGCATTGAAGAAACATATTTCAAAATAATAAGAATGATGTATGACAAACTCACAGTCAACATCATATTGAATGGGCAAAAGCTGGAAGTATTCCCCTTGAAAACTGGCAAAAGACATGGATGCCGTCTCTCACTACTTCTGTTCAACATAGTACTGGAGGTCCTAGCTAGAGCAATCAGGCAAGAGAGAAATAAAAGGCATCCAAATAGGAAGAAAGGAAGTCAAACTATCCCTGTTTGCAGGTGATATGATTCTATACCTAGAAAACCACAGTCTCTGCCCAAACACTTCTTAATCTGATAAACAACTTTAGCAAAGTTCCAGGATACAAAATCAATATATAAAAATCAGTAGCATTCCTATACACCAAAAACATCTAAGCTGAGAGCCAAATCAAGAATAGAATCCATTCACAATTACTGCAAAAAGAATAAAATACCTGGGAATACAGCTAACCAGGGAGGTGAAAGATCTCTGCAAGGAGAACTACAAAACACTGGTCAAAGAAATCATAGATGACACAAACAAATGGAAAAACATTCCATGCTCATGGATAGGAAGAATGAGTATTGTTCAACACACAAATAATTCAGGCTTTAGAAGGAGCTGGAAGAGAGAAGACATGGATGGACGTGGGGCTCACACCCATTAGGAGGCTAAGGCAGTAGTAGTTGGGGTGGCAGAATATTCAGTAGTACACTAAGACTGCCTCATGCTTAGTACTGCAGTAGTACTACAGAATGCTAGAGTGTTCAGTAGGGTTAGACTATGGCAGCATCCTTTTAAATGAAGTGACGGGAGGAAGTGGGTTGCTAAAACAAAATAGAATCAGCATAAGGAAGGATATTGGGCAGATGACTCCTGACTTCCTCATTCTTGCAGTTTGAGCATTCAGTAAATTACAGATCCTTCATGGACAGTCTAACACAGGCAAGGACTAACTATAAATCCAGGCCTGAGCATTAATGAGTCTGAAGGGTTTGGAGATAACAAAGTGAGATAGAAATTATGCAAGAGAAGCACAGCAGAAACAACTAGAATGGGGATTAAAATAAGAATGGTGCTTCAGGCTATTCTTCAATTTCTTTATCCTAGAGCTCCCAAGAGGGTCTAAAGGGGCTGGGAGAGATTTACAGGACACTTACCTTCCTGTGCCTGAATCCTCTGGCCCAGACAGAGCACTGGAAGAGAGAGATTTATGAAAAATCAAGCTTCCATTTCCAACCTTTACGACAAATCACCCTCTGTAATGACAGACCAGAAAAAGACCAGTACCAGATGGATTCACAGCTCAATCCCACCAGATATATAAAGAAGAGCTGGCATTTTTTTTTTTTTTTGAGACAGAGTCTCGCTGTGTCGCCCAAGCTGGAGTGCAGTGGCATGATCTTGGCTCACTGCAAGCTCTGCCTCCCAGGTTCATGCCATTCTCCTGCCTCAGCCGCACGAGTAGCTGGGACTACAGGCGCCCGCCACCACGCCTGGCTAATTTTTTTGTATTTTTAGTAGAGACAGGGTTTCACCATGTTGGCCAGGATGGTTTTGATCTCCTGACCTTGTGATCCGCCTGCCTTGGCCTCCCAAAGTGCTGGGATTGCAGGTGTGAGCCACTGCGCCCGGCCAAGAAGAGCTAGTATTATTCCTACTGAAACTATTGAAAAAAATCCTGGAGGAGGGACTCCTCCCCAACTCATTCTATGAGGCCAACATTATCCTGATAACAAAATGTGGCAGAGATACAACAAAAACAGAAAACTTCTGGATAATATCTTTGTTGAACATAAATGCAAAAATCTTCAACAAAATACTAGTAACCATATTTCTATATGGGGTTCTATCATATGTTTTCCTTCCACAACAATCACAGTTTTGAGGTTCATTCTTTATTTTTACCTTTCAGATTCCAGCCTCTAAGTCTCTCCTTGATAAGAACCTTGGGACCATCATGAATCCCAGATAACACACTATAGGTTTAATACAAATATTAAACCTTGAGCCCCACAAGCTAGCTTGGGCTTGGGTAGAGACAAAGTTATAGATACATTGACAAAGACGGCCTTTCCACTAAGGAGATCAGAATCTCCTTGGCAGCCACTAAAATCTCCTAGTCACACTGTTAAGAGACACCCTGATTATTTTGGGATTTCTCTATCTTCCCCTCTAACCCACTTTTACTCTGAAACTCACCAAGACACAGGAGGGTGGTCTGTTTGGGGTCCATCGTGCTGACACGGCCTCAGCCCCGTTGCTCTCCTTTCAATGCACATTAGCAGGATGACAGATATTCTTACGACAATAAGCTCCGCAGGAAGTATGAGGACAGAGCCCCTCGTCAGGGAATTTCCACATCTATTGCCTCACAACAAAGTGGAACAGTTCGTTGCCGAATAACTTAGTTCCAGGTTGCTCTTGGGTGGAGCCCAAGAGAAGACATATATATGTATATTTTTTTAAATAGAGATGGGGTCTTTCTATGTTGGCCAGGGTAGTCTCTAACTTCTGGCATCAAGAAATCCTCCTGCCTAAGACCTATATTTCTATTTATGTTTCAGATGAGAAACGAATGAGAAGTGAATTTTCATTAAGCCAGTGTCTAATGGTGTTCAAATTCATCTTTGAACCAGATGCTACATCCAAATAGACGGGCTTGGGACAGAATATAAGGTGGTGGATACCATACAGGCAGACATTGCCTTCACTGGGCCATTAGTCAAAAGCTCTGTGGCTTTGTCTGTTCTGAACCTATGTTTCATCTCTGAGATTCATGGTCTGAGTATATTTACTTGGACTTGACCAGGCATGCAGTATACCCTTATCCTGGAGATGATCTCAATGCCAGAGTGTGGAGGCATTTTCTCTGGCACTATTTGTCATCTCTAAAGAAAGAATCTACTATTTTATTATACTTTTTTGTTTATTTGTATAAATTTAAGGAGCGCAAGTGAAATTTTATTACGTGGATATTTTGTGTAGTGGTGAAGTCTGGGCTTTTAATATAATTATCCTCAAATAATGTACATTGTTGCTCATTGAGTATTTTTTTAACTTTTATTTTAGGTTCAAGGGTACATGGGAAGGTTTGTTATACAGGTAAACTTGTGTCATGGGGGTTTGTTGTACAGATTATTTCATCACCTAGGTAATAAGCTTGGTACCTAATAGTTACTTTGCCTGCTCCTTTCCCGCCTCCCACCCTCCACCCTAAAGGAGACCCCATTGTCTGTTTTTCCCTTTTTTGTGTTCATGAGTTCTATTATTTAGCTTCCACTTATAAGTGAGAACCTGCTGTATTTGGTGTTCTGTTCTTGTATAGTTTGCTAAGGATAATGGCCTCCAGCTCCATCCATGTTTCCACAAAACATATGAACTCATTCTTTTTTTATGGCTTCAAATTAATTTTATTTTTATCTTATTATTTATGTTATTTTGATTGTAGACTCCTGGCTATCACGAATTCTTCAGGTATGGAGAGTGAAATATTCCTAATTAAACCTTCTACTATTTTATTTTATTTTATTTATTCTTTTTTTTTTTTTGAGACGGAGTCTTGCTCTGTCGCCCAGGCTGGAGTGCAGTGGCGTGATCTCAGCTCACTGCAAGCTCCACTTCCTGGGTTCATGCTATTCTCCTGCCTCAGCCTCCCGAGTAGCTGGGACTACAGGCATCCGCCACCACGCCCGGCTAATTTTTTTTGTATTTTCAGTAGAAACGGGGTTTCACCGTGTTAGCCAGGATGGTCTCGATCTCCTGACCTCGTGATCCACCCACTTCGGTCCCCCAAAGTGCTGGGATTACAGGCGTGAGCCACCGCGCCCCACTTTATTTTCATTTTAATACATCATAACTTAGCCCTTCCAACGCCGAAGTATTTTGAAGTCCTGAGCTTGTCCCATATTTCAGAAAGCCGATCAGCTTCCATGTTGACTGTTTCATTTGTGCAAATTTAAGTGACCTTTTGTTTTGCCACATTTTGTTAATTTCCACATACATATTTACGTTCGGGAAATTTGGAAATACTACGTTCTGGAAATTTGGTGTTGATGATTGCATGAAATTGACCGCATTCTAATTTTCTTTTTTTGTTGTTTTGTTACTTATGCCTTATTTATTCATTCCTTTGTTCTCACTTGAATGGGACTTTGGGTGAAAGACAAATAATGGCTGTACTCTTAGTTGAGTATTTAAAATGCAGAGATTGTAAAGGCAGGATGACCTAATTAAAAATACTATTGTTGGCTGGGTGCAGTAGCTCATGCCTGTAATCCCAGCACTTTGGGAGGCCAAGGCAGGTGAATCACTTGAGTTCAGGAATTTAAGACCAGCCTGGTCAATGTGGTGAAACCCAGTCTCTACTAAAAATATAAAAAATTACTTGGGTGTGGTGGCGGGTGCCTGTAATTCCAGCTACTCGGAAGGCTGAGGCAGGAGAGCCACTTGAACCCAGGAGGCAGAGGTTGCAGTGAGCCAAGATCACTGCACTCCAGCCTGGGCAACACAGAGCGAGACTGTGTCTCAAAAAAACAAAAGCTATTGTTATGGTTTACAAATGACGTGGCTTTCTATTGGGAGAGAGATACTTACTAATTGTTGAATTTCAGGAACTTCAGTGGCCAATATTTACTAATGGGCTGGAACAGATTTTGTCAACTTACCACAACATTTGGTGTGGTTTTGTTCTTTTGTTTCCTCCTTTTGTGGAACAGGAATGGTAACGTAGCCATGGGGTGCTGAGATATTTGGTTAAACATTATTCTGTGTGTGTCTGTGGGGGTGTTGCTGAATGAGATTATCAATGGAATTAGTGTAATTTATAAAGCAGATTGCTCTCCCTAATGTGAGTCGGCCTCATTCAATCAGGTGGGACCTGAATAGAACAAAACATTGAACTGGTAATGTAAGATGAAGTTCCTTTTGCCTGGACATCAGTCTTTTCTGGCTCTTGAACTCTCACTAAAACATTGACTCTTTAGATGTTAAGCCTGCCAGCTTTTTTTGTTTGTTTGTTTTTTTGAGATAGAGTCTCACTCTGTCACCCAGGCTGGAGTGCTGTGGCATGATCTCGGCTCACTGCAACCTTCACCTCTTGGGTTCAAGCAATTCTCGTACCTCAGCCTCTGAGTAGCTGGGATTACAAGCGAATGCCACTATGCCCGGCTAATTTTTGTATTTTTAGTAAAGATGGGGTTTCACCATGTTGGCCGGGCTGGTCTTGAACTCTGACCTCAGGTGATCTGCCTGCCTTGGTCTCCCAAAGTGTTGGGATTACAGGCGTGAGCCATCATGCCCGGCATGAGCCTGCTAGCTTTTGGACTGTTACGTATACCACTAACTCTACTGGTTCTCAGACTTTTGCACGTAGACTGGAACTACACGTGGACTCCCCTGGGTCTCCAGCTTGCAGATGGCAGATCATGGGACCTGTCAGTCTACATAGTTGCATAAGCCAATATATAAATACCCTATCTGTGTATCAATCATTATATATCTGTCATTATCCAACTATATGTCTATCATTATTTGTGATATCATTATATATCTATCATTATTTGTCTATCAATCATTATCTATATATCTATCATTATTAGTGTTGATTATTTTTTTTTCTGGAGAACCCTGACTACTATAGCTTCCATGTTCCTGTCTCAACTGTCACCAGTCCCCTTAGCACAGGGCCTATCATAGCCATTCTACGGCCCAAGGAATTACAAGCCACATAACTACAGGAGTCACAGTGACCCAAGGATTTAGACGGAGACACGGAAGAATTGAGGCATCTATTGGTCTCTGCATATTTTGGGATTTGGGATTTCCCAGCAGGGAAATTTGCCTTGAATCTGTCTAACTGGTCACTAAGAGTTGATTGGTAGGTTCCATTCTCCGTGCACAGCATAAACCCTAATAAGCCCAAACTGACTGGCAGTGGAGACTCTCAACCCTCAATGGGACCAAACTGTGACTGGCAGTGGAGACTCTCAACCCTCAATGGGACCAAACTGTGACTGGCAGTGGGGACCTTCAACCCTCAGTGGGACCGAACTGTGACTGGCAGTGGGGACCTTCAACTCTCAGTGGGACTTTACAGCACTCAGCTGCACCTGTGTGGAGAATTTGTCTCAAACACCTAAGAAGGAAGGAGGCCTTTGTTTCGAGGAAGAAGAAGGGGAGCTGCTTCTCTATCCACTGACCTCAGAGGTACCGGAGAGTGTCCAGTGAGGGCCTTAACTCTCTGCAGTATTTTTTTTTTTTTTGAGATGGAGTCTCACCCTGTCGCCCAGGCTGGAGTGCAATGGCAGGATCTCGGCTCACTGCAACCTCTGCCTCCCCAGTTCAAACGATTCTCCTGTCTCAGCCTCCTGAGTATCTCAGATTTACAGGCACCTGCCACCATGCCCAGCTATTTTTTGTATTTTTAGTAGAGACAGAGTTTCACCATGTTGGCCAGGCTGATCTCGAACTCCTGACCTCGTGATCTGCCCACCTCCGCCTCCCAAAGTGCTGGGATTATAGGCGTGAGCCACTGCACCCAGCCACTCTCTGCAGTTTTAAAGGCCATTTCCATGAATTAGAGTATACTTAGGCACTGAGGTAAGCATGGCACAGCTTTCTGAAAATAAAGTTGAAACTTAGAGGTTTCTTTTAGCTTTATTGAGATATGATTGACAAATGGAAATTGTATATATTTAAGGTGTATTACACTTGATGTTTTGATGTATGTATACATGGTGACATGATCATCATAGTCAAGCTAGTTATATCCATCATCTCGCAGGGTTATTGTTTTTTTTTTTTTTTTTTTTTTGAGAGGAAGTCTTACTCTGTCCCCCAGGCTAGAGTGCAGTGGTGCCATCTTGGCTCACTGCAACCTCCGCTCCCAGGTTCCAGCAATTCTCGTGCCTCAGCCTCCTGAGTAGCTGGGATTACAGGCTTGTGTCACCACGCCTGGCTAATGTTTGCATTTTTAGTAGAGACAGGGTTTCACCATGTTGGCCATGCTGGTCTTGAACTCCTGACCTCAAGTGATCTGCCCGTCTTGGCCTCCCAAAGTGCTGGGATTACAGGCGTGAGCCACCGCGCCCGGCCTATGGTTTCTTTTTCTTTCTTTCTTTTTTTTTTTTTTGTGGTGAGGACCCTTAAGATCTACTCTCCCAGCCGGGCGTGGTGGCTCATGCCTGTAATCCCAGTACTTTGGGAGGCCGAGGCAGGCGGATCACGAGGTCAGGAGATCGAGACCATCCTGGCTAACACAGTGAAACCCCGTCTCTACTAAAAATACAAAAAATTAGCAGGGCGTGGTGGCGGGCGCCTGTAGTCCCAGCTACTCGGGAGGCTGAGGCAGGAGAATGGCGTGAACCCAGGAGGCGGAGCTTGCGGTGAGCCGAGATCGCGCCACTGCACTCCAGCCTGGGTGACAGAGCAAGACTCCAGCTCAAAAAAAAAAAAAAAAAAAAAAAAAATCTACTCTCCCATGCTTGCCTCGGCAGCACATATACTAAAATTGGAACGATACAGAGAAAACTAGCATGGCCCCTGCGCAAGAATGACACGCAAATTCGTGAAGTGTTCCATATTTAAAAAAAAAAATCTACTTTCCTGGTAAATTTCAAGTATAGAGTACAGTATTGTCAACCATAGTGGCAAAGCTGTACAAGAGATCTTCAGACCCATTCCTCCTGAATACCTGATAGTTTGTATCCTTTGATCAACATCTCCCAATTCCCTCCCCCACACTGTCCCTGTAGTTCTAGTGAGTTTCCCAGACTCTGATGTCTCAATTTCATTCAGTCACTTTCCTCCAGATACATCTACCCATTCCTACTGCATCTTAGTATCCTGAGCCTTGGGGGCAGTTTCTGTGCCAAGTGGAAATGTGGAAATGAGATATTACGAAGAAAAATCTTTGCCCACCTAGACAGGGATCTGATGTTTTCCAAGATGACACATGATTACATGTTGAAATGATAATATTTTGAGTCTACTTGTATAATAAAATAATATTTTGGATCTATTAGGTTAATATTTTGGGTCTGTTGGGTTAATAATATTTTGGGTCCATTGGGTTAACTTAAATTAATTTTATCTGTTTCTTGTTAGCTTTTTAATTTGGATACTAGCAAGTTTGAAAGAATGCATGTGGTTTGCATTATGTTTCTATAGGACAGAACTTACCTGTAGATGTAAGGGAGTCACAACAAAATTACAAGCATTGTTTTTGGTGGAAATGAGAAAAATGATTACAAATTTACATGGAAAAGCAAATAGCCAATAATAATAATAATGGCAATCTTAAAGAGGAAGGAGAAATTAGAGGATTCAGGCTGCCAAATTTTAAGGGGTTCTATAAGGCCACATAAAGTGCAGCATCCTCATGAGAGTGGACACAGAGAGCCACTGAGCAGAAAAGAGTGTGTAAAATACATCTGTGTACACACAGTCCTTTTATAGTTGACAGAGGCTGCCATGCGGATTAAGGTGGAATAGAATGTCTTCTCAGTAAATAACATTGGACCAGAGGGTTACAAGCAGGAAAAAATAAATCTAAGCTTATTTTCACACCATAAAAACACTGCTAATTTTTTATCTTATTATCATACATTTTGATGATTTATTTATAAAATTGATGAATGAAAATTATATACAGTTGTCCTTCACTATTCATGGGTGATTGGTTCCAGGAAACCCCCCTCCCTACCAGACACCAAAATCTGCAGATGCTCAAGCCTGTTGCATGAAATGGCACAGCGTTTGCATATAACCCATGCACATCCTCCTGTATACATGAAATCATCTCTAGATTACTTATAATTCCTGATACAGCCTACACACCACCTCACTTGTGTCCACACAATATAGTATTTTTGCTTTTTGGAACTTTGTGGATTTTTTCTCTGAATATTTTTGATTTATATTTGGTTCAATAAACACCTGTAAACCCCACAGATATGGAGGAGCGACTGTATATTTATAGTATGAAAGATGATGTGTTGACATGTGTCCCTGTGGAGATGAGACTAACAAGGCCTATGACTCTACAAATGTTTCATCTTGGAATGACTCTGCCAGCTTTCCAGGTCTGCAGAGAGTAAGAATATCACTTGTTCATGTGATTCACGATCCTTGGAACCTCCTATGTGCTGCATCTTTGGATGGAAATTGGAGTCCCAGAGACAAATGAGGCTCCACCCTGCTTCCAGAAGCTCAGAGTCCAGGGCTGAGAACCCAGTAGAGAACATATCAGGTTATATGGACATAGTAATGATAACACTGGAAACTTTTGGCGAATAAAGAGTCACATTATCGAAACCATGAGGGCAGACATGTTTATTTGAAGAGGAGAGAGCTACACTGAAGTTATAAAAAAAATTTATAAATTTTACTGATGACAGAAGGCTGAAAGATAGTCTGAGGGGAGGTGGAACAGCATGAGGGAAGGTGGAACAGCAAGTGTGTAAGTGCCGTGTTAAGAGGGAGCCTCTTGTATGTTTGGAATTGTGAGTTCCTCAGTGTGATTGCAGCCTCAAGTAGGACTAGGAAGTAAGCCAGTTAGGTTGGAGAGGTGGGCAGGGGTCAAGTGAAATAGATACTTGTGGGCTAAGCAAAGGAGTGTGTTTTCTCTGCAGCAGGCAGTGGCGACCTTAGGCATTTGTAAGCAAGAGAGAGGCATGTTCAGATTCGTGGTGTGAGGAAGAGCGATCCCCTAAGATGCAGACTGATGCCTTCAGATTCCAGCTGCTGGTTCATTGGATCTGGCAACCTGGTTTTGAGACAGGGCTGTTGTCTCCCTAGAAAACCCCCTCAAGACCTGACTGTGGTGCTCGTGGGCAGGAGACAACTTTGGATCTGGGCTCAGCATTTGGAAGTTCCGTGTACACGCTGGTATCTGTTAGGGGTGTCTTGGGCCTCTGAGAAGGGCGACTGATTTTTCTCTGTATGAAAACGCAGTGATCCAACTGTGCGTACGTCACCTCCTGAGGGTCTTGTTCATCAGAGTCCTGGAGAGAGGGAAATGCTGAGTGAGGGAGGGTGCTCACATTTTTCAGGACTATTAGGGATAAGACTGTATCCGTGAGGCTGGGCCGAGGAGGACCTACCTGCCTATTCACTGTTCTGTCCCCCGCAGGCTCTTGGTCCATTACAGCAGCATCTGTAGGAGACGGAAGTCATCAAAACCGCTTGGAGGGCCCTTCTGGGTCCTCATTTCATGGGCAGACACCAACCCACAGGGGGAGGCTGTAGGTGCCTGAGGCTCTTCAGCTGCCAACATCCAGACTCAGACATTCTATCTCTCTGAGTTCAAGACCCCATCCCATGAAGTGCTCTCAATTGGCATCCCATTGATTCTGTCTCCCACTTTCTGCCTGTCATGGAAGCTTCTGGATGTCAGTAGCTGCAGGGGATGTGAGGATACAGTTCAGAACCAGGCAATGGTCTGTGAGCTGAAGGCAGGGGCAGGTTGTCTGGTGCTCTCTCTAGAAAGCCCTGCCTCTGTGGCTCCTCCCTTGGGCCAGGGACCATCCTGCCAGTGAGGAACACACACCCGCGTGCTCCCATCCTGCTTCCCCACATGGCCCTGAGCTCTCTGGCCTCTGCTTCGTGAGACTTACTCTTTTTGTTGGAGCACCAGCGATAAAGGAGAAAGAAGAGGAGGAGGATGAAGAGGAAGATGACCACTGAGGTCCCAATCAGAACATGCAGGTGTCTGCAGATACCTGGAGGAAGATGGGAATCCAATAAGAAGCTAATCATAGCAGTTCCTCTTTATGGATTGTCTCATTTCTTGATTGACAGGTAACCACATGGAACATCTCCTTAGGACAAGCAGCCTGATGGCGGGAGACCCAGCTTTCTCCTGCTTTCTCAGTTACAGCTCTCATAGAAACCATAGAACATGCTGAGGATACAGCTGCTTTAGTTTAGATGTTTGACCCTTTGAAACCTCACACTGAAATATTGAAATTTAACCCCCAGTGTGGAAGTTTGGGCCTATGGGAAGGTGTTTGAGTCATGGAGGTGGATCCATCATGAATAGATTAATGCTGCCCCACATGATGGGGTTAGCAAGTTCCCCCTCTATTAGTTCCCGGAGGGCTGGTTGTTAAAAAGAGCTTGGAAGCTCCATCGCTCGCCCTCCCCCTTGCTCCCTCTCTTGCCATGTGATCTCTGTGGTCTCTGCACAGACAGACCCTCCTTCCCTTCTGCCAGAGTGGGAGCAGCCTGAGGCCGTCACAGGAAACAGATGCTGGTGCCATGCTTCCAGTACAGCCTGCAGAACTGTGAGGCAAACAAATCTGTTTTCTCTAGAAGTTGCCCAGGCTCTGGGATGCAAGGCTGGTTCAATATATGCAAATCAATAAATGTAATCCATCATATAAACAGAACCAAAGACAAAAACCGGACGACTATCTCAATAGATGCAGAAAAGGCCTTTGACAAAATTCAACAACGCTTCATGCTAAAAACTCTCAATAAATTAGGCATTGATGGGACGTATCTCAAAATAATAAGAGCCATCTATAACAAACCCACAGCCAGTATCATACTGAATGGGCAAAAACTGGAAGCATTCCCTTTGAAAACTGGCACAAGACAGGGATGCCCTCTTTCACCACTCCTATTCAACATAGTGTTGGAAGTTCTGGCCAGGGCAATTAGGCAGGAGAAGGAAATAAAGGGTATTCAATTAGGAAAAGAGGAAGTCAAATTGTCCCTGTTTGCAGATGACATGATTGTATATATAGAAAACCCCATTGTCTCAGCCCAAAATCTCCTTAAGCTGATAAGCAGCTTCTACAAAGTCTCAGGATACAGAATCAATGTACAAAAATCACAAGCATTCTTATACACCAATAACAGACAAACAGAGAGCCAAATCATGAGTGAACTCCCATTCACAATTGCTTCAAAGAGAATAAAATACCTAGGAATCCAACTTACAAGGGATATGAAGGACCTCTTCAAGGAGAACTACAAACCACTGCTCAATGAAATAAAAGAGGATACAAACAAATGGAAGAACATTCCATGCTCATGGGTAGGAAGAATCAAGATCGTGAAAATGGCCATACTGCCCAAGGTAATTTATAGATTCAATGCCATCCCCATCAAGCTACCAATGACTTTCTTCACAGAATTGGAAAAAACTACCTTAAAGTTCATATGGAATCAAAAAAGAGCCTGCATTGCCAAGTCAATCCTAAGCCAAAAGAACAAAGCTGGAGGCATCATGCTGCCTGACTTCAAACTATACTACAAGGCTACAGTAACCAAAACAGCATGGTACTGGTACCAAAACAGAGATATAGATCAATGGAACAGAATAGAGCCCTCAGAAATAATGCCACATATCTACAACTATGTGATCTTTGACAAACCTGAGAAAAACAAGCAATGGGGAAAGGATTCCCTATTTAATAAATGGTGCTGGGAAAACTGGCTAGCCATAGGTAGAAAGCTGAAACTGGATCCCTTCCTTACACCTTATACAAAAATTAATTTGAGATGGATTAAAGACTTAAACGTTAGACCTAAAACCATAAAAACCCTAGAAGAAAACCTAGGCATTACCATTCAGGACATAGGCATGGACAAGGACTTCATGTCTAAAACACCAAAAGCAACGGCAACAAAAGCCAAAATTGACAAACGGGATCTAATTAAACTAAAGAGCTTCTGCACAGCAAAAGAAACTACCATCAGAGTGAACAGACAACCTACAAAATGGGAGAAAATTTTCGCAACCTACTCATCTGACAAAGGGCTAATATCCAGAATCTACAATGAACTCAAACAAATTTACAAGAAAAAAACAAACAATCCTATCAAAAAGTGGGCAAAGGACATGAACAGACACTTCTCAAAAGAAGACATTTATGCAGCCAAAAAACACATGAAAAAATGCTCACCATGACTGGCCATCAGAGAAATGCAAATCAAAACCACAATGAGATACCATCTCACACCAGTTAGAATGGCGATCATTAAAAAGTCGGGAAACAACAGGTGCTGGAGAGGATGTGGAGAAATAGGAACACTTTTACACTGTTGGTGGGACTGTAAACTAGTTCAACCATTGTGGAAGTCAGTGTGGCGATTCCTCAGGGATCTAGAGCTTGAAATACCATTTGACCCAGCCATCCCATTACTGGGTATAAACCCAAAGGACTATAAATCATGCTGCTATAAAGACACATGGACACGTATGTTTATTGTGGCACTATTCACAATAGCAAAGACTTGGAACCAACCCAAATGTCCAACAATGATAGACTGGATGAAGAAAATGTGGCACATATACACCATGGAATACTATGCAGCCATAAAAAATGATGAGTTCATGTCCTTTGCAGGGACATGGATGAAATTGGAAATCATCATTCTCAGTAGACTATCACAAGGACAAAAATCCAAACACCGCATGTTCTCACTTATAGGTGGGAATTGAACAATGAGAACACATGGACACAGGAAGGGGAACATCACACTCTGGGGACTGTTGTGGGGTGGGGGGAGGGGGGAGGGATAGCATTAGGAGATATACCTAATGCTAAATGACGAGTTGATGGGTGCAGCACACCAGCATGGCACATGTATACATATGTAACTAACCTGCACATTGTGCACATGTACCCTAAAACTTAAAGTATAATAATAATAAAAATTTTAAAAAAAAGCTCATCAGAAGCACTATACAAAAAAAAAAAAAAAAAAAAAAGAAGTAACCCAGGCTCAAGTGTTCTTTTATAGCAACAAAAATGGACTAAGACAGCAACGTCCTGAGATCAGGAGGAACGTCTCAGAACAGCCTGTGCTGTCTTCCTGTTCTTCCTGGAGGAGGACGTCATGCAGTGCTTTAGCTGAGTGCTTCCTGTGGCTTCAGGGTACAAAACCCAGGCTGGGCTATTTTCTGGCTTCCCCCAGATACACTGCAAATGAGGTGACTCCATATGTCCCGAGCAGCTTTTCTGAGCCTTGAGGGACTGGCTCACGTTGAAATGTAGGCTTCTGTTGTCACTCGCTGCTTATCTGTTAGTAATGAACCTGCCTATGTAACGTATTCTCTGTGTGTTCTGTCTCCCTGGAGTGACGGTGAGTGATAGAAATTGGCATAGGCCCAGGTGCAGTACAGCAGGTGTTTAGAGTCTTCTCTGGAAAGACTGGACTGGGATTGATACACAGTGAATGTGCTTTACAGTTTCTACATCCACAACCCTCTTGACTCAAATTACATTCTCCAAGAAAAGGACACAAAAGTGAAATCAAGATCAAAAAAGCAAAGTAGAATTCTCTTATGTCAAACAGCCAGGAAATAATGATGAAGCCCATGTGAAACGTGCTACTCTTTGTGATCTCGCGAGACACATGTTAGGCTGCTGTTCCACCTGAGAGGCTGGGGGAAAGACCACCCCCTCCACCATCTATTGCTTCAAAACCACCTGTCCTCCTGTGAATTAGTAGGAAAGGGGAGCAGGAGCTAGTGCTGGTGCTGATCTCTGATTCCAAGATCTGAACTCACTCCAAGGAGTATTAGCGTTTACCTCCCCATGATCTATCTGTATCTCCACAGGTGATTGGAAGTAGGGGTGAGGTGGGGGATTTGGGTGAGGGGGAAAGTTTCTTGTGATGAACAGAGCACTTTCCCTATTTCAGGGCCTGTGCTGGTGGGTTCAGGGGGCTTTCATATTTTCCATATGATCTCATGTTCACAGAAAGCCAAATATGGAAGAGGTTTTAGGCTGATTTTCTAATGGATAAGATAAAGGATCAAAGAAGTAATTATAGAGGAATAGAAAAATGATGATTGGAATTCAGGTGCCTGCATCATTTGTGTATATTATTATATTTATGTATTTTTTATTTTTATTTTTTGAGACAGAGTATCCCTGTGTAGCCCAGGCTGGTGTGCAGTGATGCGATCTCCACTCACTGCAACCTCTGCCTCCAGGGCTGAAGTCATTCTCCTGCTTCCTCCTCCAGAGTAGCTGGGATTACAGTCATGCACCACCATCATGCCTGTTTAATTTTTGTATTTTTAGTAGAGATAGGGTTTCTCCATGTTGGCCAGGCTGGTCTCGAACTCCTGACTTCATGTGATCCACCCGCGTTGGCCTCCTGAAGTGCTGGGTTACAGGCGTGAGCCACCGTTCACAGCCTTGTATATTATGCTATACTAGGTCCCTTCATTTGCACCACCCCTCATCTAGCTCTCCCTCCTCTGCCAGGTATTGATTTAGATGCAGGAGAAATAAATCTCAGAAATAAGTTAGTGAAGCGAGGATTAAACTACCAGGAAAAATTAAACCCAGCAAGCCTTTCCAGCCAATGATTCTACCTCACAAACATATCTTATATCCATCTACTTCATTCATTTAGTGTCTAAATCAGCACCACATTTCACCAGTGGGGCGGCAGAATTGCCTTTTCCACGGTCTCCTAGATTCCAGTTACGCACCTGGGCCTCCCTTATTTTCATGTCAGTCATATTAATCATGTAGGGATTCCTGGTTACCCCGAGGTGAGTCCAATGGCTGTGAGTGTCAAACACACACTCCTTGTTGCTCCTTAGTTTCCTGTGTACCCAGTGTGCTCTCCGTCTCTCTACAGTCGTCTTGTCATTCTCCCCACGTCATTCCCAGCATTTGAGGCAGAGCCTCTTCCTTCAACATCAGATTATTTTCACCTTTGTGCCTTCACGGCTGACAGCTGTGTGTGCAAAATCCTTCCGCCCATCTTTCAGGGGTTCAATCCGTGTTTTTCATTAATGTCACAAATATCTGATTAGTGAGAACTTCTCTGTCACCTGAAATCATACACTCAGCATTATCTATTATTGATTTGAAAATTTGGCTTGGCCCCGTGGCTCATGCCTCTTATCCCAGCGTGTTGGGAGGCAGAGGCTATTGGATCACCTGAGGTTGGGAATTTGAGACCAGCCTGGCCAACATGGTGAAACATCCTCTCTACAGAAAATATGCAAAAAGAGTTAGCCGGGCGTGGTGGTTGTGGTCTGTAATCCCAGCTACTGGAGAGGCTGAGGGAGGAGATCCGTTCAGCCCAGGAGGTGGAGGTTGCAGTGAGCCGAGATCATGCCACCGCACTCTAGCCTGGACGACAGAGCAAGGCTCCGTCTCAATAAACAAGTAGGTAAATACATAAATAAATAGATTTCATGCACAGATGCTTCTCAATAGATCATTCATTTATTGGTCCCCTTGTGCCTACATTTTCTGCCCTCCCATTTAACCATCTGCAAGATCAGTGTCCCAAGAACAGAGGCCAAATGCATCTTGTTCACTGTTTGTGGAAGGCAGGAGAATGTTGTCCCACCCCAAAAATGTCCATGTCCTAGCCTCCATAGCTTGTGAATATGTTATTTTACATGAAAGGAGGAATGAAGATTGCAGATGGAATTATGGTTGCTAGTCAGCTGAACTTAAAAGGAGGGTATCCTGGATGATTTCCGGGAGATTATGATGGATTTTCATCTTGGTGAACCCAATAGAATCCCCAAGTTTTCAAAAGAAGGGGAAGAAGGGAGAGCAGCATTCAGAGAAAGAGGTGTGGTAAGGAAGAAGGGTCTGAGTGATGCCATGTGAGATGTGACCAGTCTTTGTGGGCTTTGAGGAAGGAGGAAGGGTACCAGGAGCCAAGGAACATGGGAGCCTCTAGAAGCTGAGAAAAGTGAGAAGCAGATTCTTGCCTGGAACCCTCAGAGGGAAGGCAGCCTTGCTGTCACCTTGATTTTAGCCCAGTGACATGCACGTCATGCTTTGAGCTACAGCACTGTAAGATAATTAAATAACCGTTTTGTTTTCACCCACGAATCTTGTGGAAATTTGTTATGGCAACAATAGGAAAAGCTTCCACACTGCACAGCCTGAGCATGGGGCTGTGGCTGAATGAGTCAGTGAGTCGAAGTGTGCGTGCATGAGCTCTGTTCTCTGTTACGGCAAGGCTCTTGCTCTGCTGAGTCAGCCAGGGTTGCCTGATGACCAACAGTAATTCATTCCTTGGCAAGTGGAACTTCTCTAAAACACCCACCCTCATCAGATGTTCCCTTCCCTTCCCTCTCTCAAGCCCCCGGGAATTTATCCTCCAGTTAGGAATGCAGGCAGAAAAAACACTGCATGTTTCCTGAGAAGGATGTCAGATTGGCAATTATTCTTCTAGCTTGTAGGAGGTCTCACCTGCAGGAAATTAAAGGTAAAGAGACTTCGCTGAGCCCTTTGGTGGCCCTAGATCCCTTTCACTGTTGGAGTGTCTGGAGTTCAGAGATGGTGGAAGACAGGCCCTCATTCACAGAGCTGGGAGGTTTGAGCCAACACTTGCATCCAAGGCTTCCACCTCCCCAGGTTTCCAAAAGCAGAGATAAGAGGGGTCCTTTACTCACCAGATTTGGAGCTTGGTTCTGTGGGTGAAGGCCAACTACTTGAAGGGTTTCCTAGAACACGGGACAGGAGAGATGTGAGGAAATGAGGGTGCTTGTCCTCTACTCAATGGAAATCTTTGAGGTTGGTTCATGGCCAACACTCTGTTATCTAATGTTGGACCCTGGGAGTCTTGGGATCCTTTTCTCCATAATTTTTGTGTGCGATGCCCACTGTCTTGAGACTTGAAGGTATAAAGAGAAAACAGGAGCATCACACTACCTGACTTAGAAATATGTTACAGAGCTGTAGTAAGCAAAACAGCATGACATTGGCATAAAGAAAGGCACATAAAAAATGGAACAGAATGGAGAACACAGATATAATCCATGCATTTACATCCAATGGCTTTCTTTTGTGTGTGTGTGATGGAATCTTGCTCTGTCATGCAGGCTGGAGTGTAGAGGTGCAATCTCAGCTCAATGCAACCTCCACTTCCTGGATTCAAGAAATTCTCTTGCTTCAAACTCCTGAGTAGTGGTATTACAGGCACTGATCACCATGCTCAGCTAATTTTTGTATTTTTAGTAGAGACGAGGTTTCACTCTGTTGGCCAGCCTGGTCTTGAACTCCTGGCTTTAGGTGATCCACCCGCCTCGGCCTCCCAAAGTGCTGGAATTGCAGGTGTGAGCCACCATGCCCAGCCCATTTAATGGACTTTGACAAAGGTGCCGAGAACTTACAATCAAGAAAGGACAGTCTTCAATAAATGGTGTGGGGAAAACTGGATATCTACATGCAGAGGAATAAAACTGCATCTATACCTGTCACCTTACACAAAAATCAAATGAAAATGGATTAAAAACATGAGTCTAAGGCCTGAACCTATGAAACATGTAGAAGAAAATAATGGGGAAGACATTTGTCTGACGAAAGACATTTTGTTTAAAACCTTCAAAACACAAGTAATCAAAGCAAAAAATAGACCATTAGGATTACATCAAACCAAGCAACTTCTGCACCACCAAAGATAAACCAACAAAGTGAAGAGACAACCCACAAAATAGGAGCAAATATTTGCAAACTATTCATCTGAGATGGGATTAATAACTGGAAATATAAGAAGCTCAAACAACTCAATAAAACAATTTAATTAAAAAACGAGCAAAAGACATGAGGAGACATTTCTCCACAAACAAAACATAGAAATGGCGATCACGTATATGAAAAAGTGCTCAGCATCACTCATCATCACAGAAATGTAAATTACAATCGCGATGAGTTTTCATCTCATCCCATTAAAATGCCTTTTAGGCCGGTGGCTCACGCCTGTAATTCCAGCACTTTGGGAGGCGGAGGTGGGCGGATCACCTGAGGTCGGGAGACCAGCCTGACCAACATGGAGAAACTCCCTCTCTACTAAACATACAAAAATTAGCTAGGCGTGGTGGCACATGCCTGTAATCCCAGCTACTTTGGAGGCTGAGGCAGGAGAATCAGTTGAACGCGGGAGGCAGAGGTTGCAGTGAGCCGAGATCACACCCTTGCACTCCAGCCTGGGCGACTATGAGTGAAACTCCATCTCAACATAAATAAATAAATAAATAAATAAAGTAAAATGGCTTTTATCTGCAAGACAGGCAAAACAAATGCTGGCAAGATGGTAGAGAAAGGAGAACCCTGGTACCCTGTTGGTAGGAATGTAAATTAGTACAACTATTATGGAGAAAAGTATGGAAAAACTTTAAAAAACTAAAAGGAGGCTGGGCATAGTGGCTTATGCCTGTAACTTCAGCACTTTGGGAAACCGAGGCAGGCACCTCACTTGAGGTCAGGAGTTTGAGAGCAGCCTGCCCAAAATTGGGATATCCCGTCTGTGCTAAAAAATACAAGAATTAGTCAGGCATGGTGGCGTGCACCTGTAATCACAGCTATTAGGGAGGCTGAGTCAGGAGAATCGTTTGAACCTAGGAAGCAGAGGTTGCAATGAGCCAAGATCGCACCACTTTGACTCCAGCTTGGACTAAGGAGGGAAACTCTTTCTCAAAAAAGAAAAAAAAAAAAGAGAACTTTCATAGTGTCCAGCAATTTCACTACTGGGTTTATATCCAAAGGAAAGGACATCAGTGTATCGAAGTGATATCTGCACTCATATGACTGTTCCAGCACTGTTCACAGTAGCCAAGATGTGGAGTCAACCTACCTGCCTATCAGTGGGTGAATGGATAGAGAACTGTAGTACACACACACGGTGGAGACTACTCATCCATAGAAACAATAACATCCTGTCATTTGCAGCCACATGGATGGAACTGGAGGTCATTACAAAGATTCCCATTTCTCACCACATGCAGGAGATAAAAGGTGGATCTCATGAAGGTAGAGAATAGAATGGTGGATACCAGAGGCCAGGAAGGGAAGGGTGGAGGGTAACAAAAAAAAGAATATAGATGTATTTATTTATTTAGAAACAGAGTCTCTCTCTGTCTCCCAGGCTGCAGTGCAGTGGCATGATCTCGGCTCAGTGCAACCTCTGCCTCCTGGCTTTAAGTGCTTCTCCTGCCTCAGCCTCCCAAGTAGCTAGGACTACAGGTGCATGCCGGCATGCTTGGCTAATTTTTCTTGTCTGTTTAGTAAAGATGAATTTCCCGCATGTTGGCCAGGCTGATCTCGAGTCCCTGATCTTAAATGATCCACCTTTCTTGGCCTCTCAAAGCGCCAAGATTACAACCGTGAACCACCACACCCAGCATATAAAGGTATTTATGACCACTAGATTTTACTTTTAAAAATGGTAAAGTTGGTAAATTATATAGTTACATTTAACCTCAATAAATATTTTTGAAAATGAAAAGAAAAGAGTGTAGGGGTTGCTGGTGATGACATCTCTCTGTGTGGGTGAGAGGCCAGGATGGGCTTCTGGGAAATGGGTAAGGTTGAGGGGCTGAGGGAACCTCTGATCTCCCCAAACTGAGCCCAGTCTCCCCTTCTCTGGGTCTGTCCTGACCGCTTTCTCCATCTGCCTGGGTGCCTGGAGCCCTGACCATGGGCCTCCATGCAGGCCATGCAAGAGGGTTTGGAGGTGCCCTGTCTGCCATCCTGCACCCTGACCCCCCCCTCACACCCAGTCTTCGTGTTCTCTCTGCATCTGTCCATGCTTCTCCCCATCATCGGCAGGAAGCTCCTCAGCTATGGCTCTAGGATCATAAGACATGGGACAGACACGGGTTTTCCTCACCTGTGACAGAAACAAGCAGTGGGTCACTTGAGTTTGACCACACGCAGGGCAGGGCACGGAAAGAGCCGAAGCATCTGTAGGTCCCTCCGTGGGTGGCAGGGCCCAGAGGAAAGTCTGCCTGGAATGTTCTGTTGACCTTGGGCACTGCACGGAGCCTACGTTCATGGGCCTCCCCTTCCCTGGACAGATGGTAGATGTCATAGGAGCTCCAGGAGCTACAGGACAAGGTCACGTTCTCTCCTGCCTGAACCGTGGGGCCCGGCTGGGCTGAGAGAGAAGGTTTCTCATATAGACCTGGAAGGAGAAGAGGCAGTTTCCTCAGGGAGGTTCTTCCTTGTCACAGCTCCCCTCATACCTGAGCTGAGAACTCACTCCCCTGCTCTATGACCTAATGCTCTCTCTCTCTCTCACCCTCCACCCCAACTCTCTTCATGTCTATTTCCTCCTTCCGCCTTCTCTGTCTCTCTAGGTCTCTGACCTCACTTCCCCACCCCTGGGTATGCTTTCCCTTTTTGGATTGTTTTATTCTCTCTGACTCTCCTTGGATTGGTTGACTTGATCTTCCTTTTTCTATAATTCTGAGTCTCTCACTTTCTGTCTTTTTCATAACTTTCTGCATATTTCTATCTATTATCTATCTATCTATTTTGTGTCTATCTACAAATTATCTGTCATCTATATCTATGTATCATTTATCTATCAATTGTCTATCTGTCTATCCATCAATCATCTATGTATTATCTGTATCTATGTATCATCTCTCTCTCTCTCTATTACCTCTCTGTCTGCCTGTCAGTCTCTATGTATCATCTATGTATCTATATATTTATATATGTGTCTTCTATCTATCTATCTTCATCATCATCATCATCATCATCTCTATGTATCATCTATCAATCATCATCTATGTATCTATAACCTATCCATTATCTATCATCTACCTATTTATCATCTATCTATATCTATCTATCCATCTATCATCTGTCTCTCTCCATCTCCTTGTCTTTCTCTGCCTCTCAGTCTCTCTAGTTCTATTTGGAATCTCTGCAATCCATCCCCACATCTTTATCTTTCTCTGTCTTTGTGCCCCTCCCTCAGGGTTCTGATTTTGGGGCTTTTCTCTCCTCCCTTCCAGCATTCTCTCCACTCCTCTGCCCTCTTTTCTTTCTTTTTGTGTGTCTGTGAGTCTCTCAATCCCCTTCCTCTGGCTCATTCTCTGTGTGTTTATGCCTTTGCTTTTTGAAGTCCCTGATTTATCTCTGTGTCTCTCAGTGATCCTATTATATGTAGGATTATTTGGAATATGAGCCTCAGAATCTAGTCTGGGGACACCAAGTACACACAGTATTTAGGGGTTGGTGTTCTGGGGCCATGATATCCTGGGATAATTATGGCTCCACTGCATGGAAGGCAGAGGTGTCAGAATAAACATGGCATCTGTAGATGCCACAAGGCCTGAGGCCACAGGGCCCAACTCAGGTCAGAAATATGGGTGTCCTTGGGTTCTCCTCGTAGAAGCACTTTGTGGAGACAAAACAGAAATGAAACTTCTAACCTGTGCCAGGTCTCTGAGCAAAGTCAGCATGGAAGGACACTTCTCTCTGGCACATGTCTGTCTGTCTGAGTGTCTCCTTTACCTCTTTCTCTCTTTTCTACTTCCCCGTATGGCCCCTGTGTCTGTCCTCTGTTATGACACCTGGTCTGTACTTATGTCTCCTGTTTCCCTGTCTCTGTTGGTACAGACCTCACCGAGTCAGTCTCTCTCCATAAGAATCCCACGCTTATCTTCCTCATGACCACCTGGGGGTTCCAAGTCCTGGATCATTCACTCTGTGTCCCAATGACAATGAGAAGAATGTCTGGACACTCTCACCTGTGATCACGATGTCCAGGGGGTCACTGGGAGCTGACAACTGATAGGGGGAGTGAGGAACAGAACCATAACATCTGTAGGTTCCTGCAAGGACAGGCATCAAGGGACCGATGGAGAAGTTGGCCTTGGAGACCCCATCATGGATCTGTCCAACGAGGCGTGAGGGGTCCTCAGAGATCCCCTCTCTGTGCAGAAAGAAGTGCTCAAACATGACATCTGACCAACATTGCAGGATGACTGTCTCTCCTGATTTCAGCAGGGGCCCTGGGTGGGCCAGGAGGGAAGGTTTTCTGTGGTTTCCTAGAAAGAGAAGTTGTGAGTTTAGAAGGCATCTCTCTTTATCATCCCATCCATGGCACCTGGAATGAGTGAGGGTTCCCCTCCCAGAGGTCTGTCTCTCTCCTCCCTCTCTGTGTCTCCGTGTCTTTTCTGTGCCCATATCCCCTGGTGCAGGTCCCTCCATTTGTCTTCCTCCCTCTTCTCTGTCCCTCTGTCTCCAGTAGCCCCTGACTCCCTTCCCACTGTGAAGAGAGCCTCATCTCTTGGGCTGTTGTATCTCTTTCCCACTAGTCTCTTTCCTGCTGTCTATGTGGGGGTGGAAGAGGACAGGCTGCATGTCCAGGCTCTCAGCAGCCTGAATCAATCTCTTTTGAACAAATTGGAGTCTCTGGCAGAGGTATCAACTCATCAGTAAGGCAGACATCAGTGTCCACACACCCTGTTCCTGATGGGGATTGGGAGCCTCTCCTGCCATGTCTGTGCCTTCTCCATGGCCCCAGCTTCCATAGGGTGGTCCCTGGTGCTGGTTCCAGGAGCATCAACCCCTTCCTATGTGGATGGAGCCTGGTGGTGGCATCAGCATCCCACCCTTGCTGATCCCACGGTAGCCAACCTTCTCCTTGTTTGGTTTCTTTAATTAATTGATTAATTAATTTATTTTTGAGACAGTCACTTTTTCACCCAGGCTGGAGTGCAGTGGTGTTGTCTTGGCTCACTGCAACCTCTGCCTCCCCGGTTCAAGTGATTCTCTTGCCTCAGCCTCCCCAGTCGTTGGATTACTCGTGCCCACCACCACACCTGGCTATCCTTGTTTGGTTTCCTAGCTTGTCCTTGACCTGGGTTCCTGTGTCGGTTTCCTGTTGCTGCTGCAGAAAATTATCACAAACATGGCAGCAGGAGAGAACACACTGACCCCTTCCACTTCTGGGGACAGAAATTGGATCCAGTTCTCCCTGTGCTGAAATCAAGGCATCTGCAGGGCTGCGTTCCCTCTGGAGACTCAGCGAATCAGTTCTCTTGACTTCTCCAGCCCTTAGAGGCCACCTGCATTCTGTGACTAGTGGCCTTCCTCCACCTTCAAAGCCCACAGTGGCTGATAGCGTCTCCCTCCCACTACACTGCTCTAATCCCCACTCCCCTCTTCCTCCACCTCTCACGCGGACCCTTGTGATTACACTGAGCCCAGCAGGACAGTCCAGGCTGTCTCCCCATCTCAAGGTCAACTCATCAACAACCTGAGCTCCACCTTCCCCTTCAGTCCCCTGCCCTATAACATAAATAGTCACAGGCTCCAGGGTTTACAATGTAGCCATCATTGGCGACAGTGATTCTTCCCACCACAGCGCCCATTTCCCCTGTATTCAATCCCCCTTGACCCCAAATACAGTTGGGGCCTGGGTGATGGGACCCTGATGGACACCCCCACCAGAAGCTCTGGGATTCAGGAGGTGGGACAGTGAGAAGCCCAGACAGAAAGCCTCTGACCTGTGACCATGATCACCAGGGGGTTGCTGGGTGTCGACCACCCAGTGAGGGAGTGTGGGCGTGAACCCCGACATCTGTAGGTCCCTGCATGTGCTGGGGTCACAGGGCCCATGATGAAGCTCTCCTGGAATATTCTGCCGTGGAAGATGGGAACGTGGCTTCTGTCTTCTTTGTACAGCATGAAATTGTTAAACCCACGACGATAGTGACACTGAAGAGCCACGTGTCCTCCTCGAGGCACCACAGTGCTGGGCCGGGCAGACAGGAAGGGTTTGTCCTGACCACCTGGGGGAGAAGGAGGCACTGCCTTAGAGAGGAGGATGTGGAGCCACCCCTCCCTCCCTGTGCTCAGAAGATTCTCCCATTTCCACTTTCTAAGGCTCCTACCACACCTGGGTGCCCAGGGCTACAGGAAGGACCCACCCCACATAGACATGGCGTCTCCCTACAACAAGTGTCAGCTGAGAACTTTGAGCAAGTGCTGAATAAGTGACTCTTACTAGATTTTAATACTGCAAAATTACTCACATAAAACAACACAAAGTAGACACGGCATGGAGGGCATGTCCTATGTGAATGGAATATCAGCCAATTCATGAACTGAGCCCCCTCAGAGGATTTGGAATGTCAGGGCCATGGCTGTGGTTTCCCCCCTCTTCTGGTAGAAAGACCGCAGCCACACTGCAGTCCCTACCGTCACGGAAACGCTGGAGGGTGTCAGTTATACCTTTGTCCTCAGAGGACCTGCTGTTCCTAGCACTGCTTCCCTCTCTTTCTCTGCTGCTGACACCACTTCCTCCCTGCACACCCCAGCTTGGAGCACCCCAGTCTCACCCCAGTCTTCACAGAGCTTGACTCAGGAAAGGGAAAGAAAGGCCGGGGAGGGCGAGGTCAGAAATGTGGGCCGAGTATCCAAGGGTCCCCTCTTCCTAGTTTATGAGAGACTCCCCGACAGGACTTCCCTCCTGTTTCAGAAAAATCCTCTTATGTGGGGAGATGACACCCTAAGGTTTGGGGAAGGACTCACCCATGAGTGGCCAGGCCCCCTGCAGCAAGAAGAACCCTGGAAAGAAAGATCATGATAGACGATCCAACTGCAGGCAAACCAGGGCACCCTGCTGCCCCCACTGCACTGTGTGTCTTGGCAGCCAGGCCCTTGCTGGGCTGAAGGTAAACTTAGCCTCCCTGCTACCTGCTGCCAAGAACAGGGCTCTCAGCTGTGGAGAGACCCAGGCTCCAGGCCCAGATCAACACTTCCTGGCCCAGATCTCCACTCCAGGCCCATATCTCCACTCCAGGCCCCTATCTCCACTCCAGGCCCATATCTCCACATCAGACCCATATCTCCACTCCAGGCCCATATCTCCACATCAGACCCATATCTCCACTCCAGGCCCAGATCTCCCCTCTAGGCCCATATCTCCACTCCAGGCCCATATCTCCACTCCAGGCCCATATCTCCACATCAGACCCATATCTCCACTCCAGGCCCATATCTCCACTCCAGGCCCAGATCTCCACCTGCAGGCCCATATCTCCACTCCAGGCCCATATCTCCACTCCAGGCCCGTATCTCCACTCCAGGCCCATATCTCCACACCCAGGCCCATATCTCCCCTCCAGGCCCATATCTCCACTCCAGGCCCATATTTACACCTCCAGGCCCATATCTCCACACCCAGGCCCATATCTCCACTCCAGGCCCATATCTCCACTCCAGGCCCATATCTTTACCTCTAGGCCGAGATCTCCATCCCCACTCTCCCTCCCTCTATTCCCTTCCAGGACTCACCAACGCACGCCATGCTGACGACAGTGAGCGACATGGTGCTGCCGGTGCAGACAGGAGGCCGCGCCCCAGCTCAGCTCAGCAGCGCACAGGATGTTATTTGGCGCCCTGCCCATGCAGTTTACATGTTGACCACATCATGGGAGGGTGACGTACGCAGGCTCTTTCTACCTTGCATGAGGCCCAGTGGGTGCTCGCTCAAGAGCGGAACATGGCTTCCTGGAAATTGTTGTGACTACAATTGCCACCTTGCATCCTTCACTATGACCAGACTCAAAAGACGTCTCAGATCCAACCTCTCACACATGAGGTGATTGAATTCTGTGCTTACATTAAAGACTTTTGATGTATTTTTGTTTTTATCTGAGATTCAAACTTTTCTTCATGTGTAATGTGCAAAATATCTAAGAGGTATTATTAACATTATCNNAGANNNNGNNTAATTGTGACAAAAAGCCATTCTAATTTTCCTGATGAGTTTCTAGTACTAAACCTGAGGCACGAGAATTGCTTGAACCTGGGAGGCGGAGGCTGCAGTGAGCTGAGCTCAAGCCACTGAACTCCAGCTTGGGTGACAGAGGAAGAGTCTGTCTCAAGAAAGAAAAAAAAAAGCAAACTAAATAACCTATAATAACAAATCAGAGAACTCAGGTTACCAAATTTTAAGGGGTTCTATAAGTTTATATGAAATGCAGCATCCTCATGAGAGGGGATACAGAGAACCACTGGGCAGAAAACTGTGTCTAAAATACATCTGTGGATACACAGTCCCTTCATAGTTGACAAAGGCTGCCATGTAGTTTAAGGTGGAATAGAATATTTTCTCAATAAATAACACAGGACCATAGGGTTACACGTAGGAAAAAATAAATCTAAACTTATCCTCACACTATAAAAACACTTCTTATTTTTTATCTTGTTGTTGTAAACTTTTTATGCTTTATTTTTAAGATTGACAAATAAAAATTATATACTGTGGTCCTTCACTATTCCTGGGTGATTGGTTCCAGGATCCCCATTCAGATACCAAAATCTGCAGATGCTCAAGCCCCTTGCATGAAATGGCATAGCGAAGCTGGGCACCGTGGCTCACGCCTGTAATCCCAGCACTTTGGGAGGCTGAGTTGGGTAGATCACGAGGTCAGGAGTTCAAGACCAGCTGGTCCAACATTCTGAAACCCCATCTCTACTAAAAATACACACACAAAAAAATTTATCTGTGCATGGTGGCACGTGCCTGTAATCCTAGGGGAGGCTACTGGGGAGGCTGAGGGAAGACAATCGCTTGAACCTGGGAGGCGGAGGTTGCAGTGAGCTGAGATCATGCCACTGCACTCCAGCCTGGGTGAGAGAGTGAGACTGTCTCAAAAAAAAAAAATAGCATAGTAATTGCATAGAACCCATGCACATCCTCCTGTATACATGAAATCATCTCTTGATTACTTATAATTCCTGACACAGCCTACACGCCACTCAATTTGTGTCGATTCAACATAGTTTTTTGCTTCTTGAAACTTCGGGGATTTTTTTCTGAAAACATTTTTGATTTATTGTTGGTTCAATAAACACCTGTAAACCCCACAGATATGGAGGACCGACTGTATATTTATATTATGAAAGATGATATGTTGATATGTGTCCCCGTGGAGATGAGGCTAACAAGGCCTATGACTCTACAAATGTTTCATCGTGGAATGACTCTGCCAGCTTTCCAGGTCTGCAGAGAGTAAGAATATCACTTGTTCATGTGATTCACGATCCTTGGAGCCTCCTATGTGCTGTATCTTTGGATGGAAATTGGAGTCTCAGAGACAAATCAGGCTCCATTCTGCTTCCAGAAGCTCAGAGTCCAGGGCTGAGAACCCAATGGAGAACAGATGGGGTTATGTGGACATGGTAATGATAACACCGGAAGCCTTAGGCAAGAAAAGAGTCTCGTTACCGAAACCATGAGGGCAGACATGTTTATTTGAAGGCGGGAAAACTACATTGAAATTATTTAAAAAATTTATAAGTTTTACTGCTGGCAGAAGGCTGAAAGATAGTCTGAAGGGAGGTGGAACAGCACGTGTCTAAGTGCTGTGTTAAGAGGCAGCCTCTTGTATGTTTGGAATTGTGAGTTCCTCAGTGTGATTGCAGCCTCAGGTAGACTAGGAAGTAAGCCAGTTAGGTTGGAGAGGTGGGCAGGGGTCAAGTGAAATGGAGAATTGTGGGCTAAGCAAAGGAGTGTGTTTTCTCTCCAGCAGGCAGTGGGGACCTTAGACATTTGTAAGCAAGAGAGAGGCATGTTCAGATTCGTGGTGTGAGGAAGAGCGATGCCCTAAGATGAAGACTGATGCCTTCAGATTCCAGCTGCTGGTACATGGGAGCTGGCAACCCGGTTTTGAGACAGGGCTGTTGTCTCCCTAGAAGATCCCCTCAAGGCCTGACTGTGGTGCTCGTGGACAGAAGACAACTTTGGATCTGGGCTCAGCATTTGGAAGTTCTATGTACATGCTGGTATCTGTTGGGGGTGTCTTGGGCCTCTCAGAAGGGCGAGTGATTTTTCTCTGTGTGAAAACACAGTGATCCAATTATGCGTATGACACCTCCTGATGGTCTTGTTCATCAGAATCCTGGAGAGAGGGAAATGCTGAGTGAGGGAGGGTGCTCACATTTTTCAGGACTCTTTGGGAATAAGACTAGCCACGAGGCTGGGCCGAGGAGCACCTACCTCGCTGTTCACTGTTCTGTTCCCTGCAGGCTCTTGGTCCATTACAGCAGCATCTGTAGAAGACGGAAGTCAACAAAAGAGCTCGGAGGGCACTTCTGGGTCCTCATTTCATAAGCAGATACCAACAAACAGGGGGAGGCCATAGGTGCCTGAGGTCCCTCAGTTGCCAACAGCAGACTCAGACATTCTATCTCTCTGAGTTCAAGGACCCATCCCATGAATAGCTCTGAGGTCCCATCCCATTGATTCTATCTCCCACTTTCTGCCTGTCATGGAACCTTCTCCTGGATGTGAGTGGCTGCAGGGGACGTGAGGATACAGTTCAGAATCAGGCAATGGTCTGTGAGCTGAAGGCAGGGGAAGGGAATCTGGTGCTCTCTCTAGAAAGTCCTGCCTCTGTGGCTCCTGTCTTGGGCCAGGGACCATCCTGCTGGTGAGGAACACACATCCGCGTGCTCCCATCCTGCTTCCCCACATGGCCCTGAGCTCTCTGGCCTCTGCTTCGTGAGACTTACTTTTTTTGTCGGAGCACCAGCGATGAAGGAGAAAGAAGAGGAGGATGGTGAAAGGGATTTTGACCACTGAGGTCCCAATCAGAACATGTAGGTGTCTGGGGTTACCTGGAAGAAGAGGAGACACCAATAAGAAGCTAATCATAGCAGTTCCTCTTTATGAATTGTCTCGCATTTCTTGATTGGCAGGTAACCACATACAACGTCTCTTTAGGACAAGCACCCAAATGGCGGGAGACCTAGCTTTCCCCTGCTTTCTCAATTATAGCTCTCATAGTAACCATAGAACGTGCTGAGGATACAACTACTTTAGTTGAGATGTTTGACCCTTTCAAACCTCACATTGAAATTTCACCCCCATTGTGGGAGGTTGGGCCTCTTCAGAGGTGTTTGGGTCATGGAGGTGGATCCATCATGAACAGACCAATGCTGTCCCAAGGAGACGGGGTTAGCAAGTTCCCCCTCTGTTAGTTCCTGGAGAGCTGGTTGTTAAAAAGAGCTTGGAAGCTCCATCGCTCCCTCTCCCCCTTACTCTCTCTCTTGCCGTGTGATCTCTGCGGTCTCTGCACAGACAGACCCTCCTTCCCTTCTGCCAGAGTGGGAGCAGCCTGAGGCCATCACGAGAAATAGATTCTGGTGCCATGCTTCCAGTACAGCCTGCAGAACTGTGAGGCAAACCAATCTCTTTTCTTTAGAAGTTACCCAGGCTCAAGTGTTCCTTTAGAGCAACAAAAATGGACTAAGATAGCAACATCCTGAGATCAGGAGGAATGTCTCAGAACAGCCTGGGCTGTCTTCCTGTTCTTCCTGGAGGAGGACGTCATGCAGTGCTTTAGCTGAGTGCTTCCTGTGGCTCCAGGGTACAAAACCCAGGCTGGGCTGCTTTCTGGCTTCCCCCAGTTACACTGCAAATGGGGTGACTCCATATGTCCCGAGCAGCTTTTCTGAGCCTTGAGGGACTGGCTCACATTGAAATGCAGGCTTCTGTTGTCACTCACTGCTTATCTGTTAGTAATGAACCTGCCTATGTAACGTATTCTCTGTGTGTTCTGTCTCCCTGGAGTGACGGTGAGTGATAGGAATTGGCATAGGCCCAGGTGCAGTCCAGGATTTGTTTAGAGTCTTCTCTGGGAAGACTGCACTGGGATTGATACACAGCGAATGTGCTTTAGGATTTCTACATCCACAGCATTCTTGAGTCAAACAAATTGCATTCACCAAGGAAAGGAAACAAAGGTGAAATCACGATTAAAAATAGCGAAGCAAGATTCTCTTATGTCAAACAGCCAGAAAATAGTGTTGAAGCCCGTGTGAAATGTGCTGCTCTTTGTGATCTCGGGAGACACATGTTAGGCTGCTGTTCTACCCGAGAGGCTGGGGGAAGGACCACCCCCTCCACCATCTATTGCTTCAATACCACCTGTCCTCCTGTGAATTAGTAGGAAAGGGGAACAGGAGCTAGTGCTGTCGCTGATCTCTGATTCCAAGATCTGGACTCACTCCAAGGAGTATTAATGTTTCCTCCCCATGGTCTATCTGAATCTCCACAGGTGATTGGAAGTAGGGGTGAGGTGGGGGATTTGGGTGAGTGGGCAAGTTTTTTTTTGCGATGAACAGAGCACTTTCTCTATTCCAGGATCCGTGCTGGAGGATTCAGCGGGCTTTCACATTTTCTATGTGATCTCATGCTCACAGAAAGCCAAATAGGGAAGAGGTTTTAGGCTCATTGCCTAATGGATAAGATAAAGGATCAAAGAAGTAATTATAGAGAAATAGAAAAATGATGATTGGAATTCAGGTGCCTTTGTCATTCGTGTGTGTTTTATTATATTTATGCATTTCTTATTTTTATTTTTTGAGACGGAGTCTCCTTGTGTCACCCAGGCTGGAGTGCAGTGATGCAATCTCCACTCACTGCAACCTCCACCTCCTGGGTTGAAGTCATTCTCCTGCTTCATCCTCCAGAGTAGGAGCTGGGATTACAGGGATGCACCACCATGCTCGGCTAATTTTTGTATTTTTAGTACAGATAGGGTTTCACCATGTTGGCCAGGCTGGTCTGGAACTCCTGACTTCATGGAATCCACCCGCCTTGGCCTCCTGCAGTGCTGGGTTACAAGCGTGAGCCACCGTTCACAGACTTGTATATTACGCTATAATAGGTCTCTTCATTTCCACCACCCCTCATATATCTGTCACTCCTTTGCCAGGTATTGATTTATGTGTAGGATGAATAAATCTCAGAAAGAAATTAATTAAGCGAGGATTAAACAAGTAGGAAAATCAAACCCAGCAAGCCTTTCCAGCCAATGATTCTACCTCACAAGCATAGCTTATATCCATCTGCTTCATCCACTTAGTGTCAAAATCAGCACCACATTTCACCAGTGGGTCGGGAATTGCCTTTTCCACGGTCTCCTAGATTCCAGTTACGCCCCTGGGCCTCCTTTATTTTCATGTCAGTCATATTAATCATGTAGGGATTCCTGGTTACCCCGAGGTGAATCCAATGGCTGTGAGTGTCAAACACACACTCCTTGTTGCTCCTTAGTTTCCTGTGTACCCAGTGTGCTCTCCGTCTCTCCACAGTCGTCTTGTCATTCTCCCCACCTCATTCCCAGCATTTGAGGAAGAGCCTCTTCCTTCCACATCAGATTGTTTTCACCTTTGTGCCTTCACGGCTGACAGCTGTGTGTGCAAAATCCTTCCGCCAATCTTTCAGGGGTTCAATCCGTGTTTTTCATTAATGTCACAAATATCTGAATAGTGAGACCTTCTTTGTCACCTGAAATCATACACTCAGCATTATCTATTATTGATTTTGAATTCTGGCTGGGCACAGTGGCTCACGCCTGTAGTCCCATTACTTTGGCATGCTGAGACGGTCGGATCACTTGAGGTTGGGAGTTTCAGACAAGCTTGGCCAACGTGGTGAAACATCCTCTCTACAAAAAATATACAAAAAGAATTAGCCGGGCACGGTGGCAGTTGCCTGTAATCCCAGCTACTCGAGAGGCGGAGGCAGGAGAATCACTTGAATCCAGGAGAAGCAGGTTGCAGTGAGCCAAGATCGTGACACTGCACTGTAGCCTGGAAGACAGAGGGCAACTCTGTCTCAATAAACAAAAGAACAAACAAAAAATAGATTTCATGCACAGATGCTTCCCAATGGATCATTCATTTATAGATCCACTTGTGCATTCATTTTCTGCCCTCCCATTTAACCATCTGCAATATCAGTGTCCCAAGGGCAGAGGCCAAATGCATCTTGTTCACTGTTTGTGGAAGGCAGGAGAATGCTGTCCCACCCCAAAATGTCCCTGTCCTAGCCTCCATAGCTTGTGAATATGTTATTTTACATGGAAAGGAGGAATGAAGATTGCAGATGGAATTATGGTTACTAATCAGCTGAACTTAAAACAAGGGTATCCTGGATGATTTCCAGGAGATTATGAGGGATTTTCATCTTGGTGAACCCAATAGAATCCCCAAGTTTTCAAAAGATGAGGAAGAAGGGAGAGCAGCATTCAGAGAAAGAAGTGTGGTAAGGAAGAAGGCACTGAGTGATGCCATGTGAGATGTGACCAGTCTTTGTGGGCTTTGAGGAAGGAGGAAGGGGACCAGGAGCCAAGGAACTGGGAGCCTTTAGAAGCTGGGACAAGTGAGAAGCAGATTCGTGCCTGGAATCCTCAGAGGGAAGGCAGCCTTGCTGTCACCTTGATTTTAGCCCAGTAAGATGCACTTCCTACTTTGAGCTACAGCACTGTAAGATAATTAAAAAACCGTTTTGTTTTCACCCACGAATCTTGTGGAAATTTGTTATGGCAACAATAGGAAAAGGTTCCGCACTGCACAGCCTGAGCATGGGGCCGTGGCTGAATGAGTCAGTGAGTCGAAGTGTGTGTGCATGAGCTCTGTTCTCTGTTACGGCAAGGCTCTTGCTCTGCTGAGTCAGCCAGGGTTGCTTCATGACCTACAGGAGCTCATTCCTTGGCAAGTGGAACTTCTCTAAAACACCTCGCCCTCATCAGATGTTCCCTTCCCTTCCCTCTCTCAAGTCTCCAGGAATTTATCCTCCAGTTAGGAATGCAGGCAGAACAAACATTGCATTTTTCCTGAGAAGGATGTCAGATTGGCAATCATTCTTCTAGCTTGTAGGAGGTCTCAGCTCCATAAAATGAGAGATGAAGAGATTTCACTGAGCCCTGTGTTGGGCCCAGATCCCTTTCGCTGTAGGAGTATCTGGAGTTCGGAGATGGTGGAAGACAGGTGTACAATGTCAGAGCTGTGAGATGCTGAGTCAACGCCTGAATCCAAGGTTTCCACCTCCCCAGGTTTCCAAAAGCGGATATAAGAGGGTTCTGTACTCACCGGTTTCGGAGCTTGGTTCAGTGGGTGAAGGCCAACTATTTGAAGGGTTTCCTAGAACATGAGACAGGAGAGAGGTGAGGAAATGAGGGTTTCTGTCCTCCACTCAGTGGAAATCTTTGAGGATGGTTCATGGCCAACACTCTGTTATCTAATATTGGGCCCTGGGAGTCCTGGGATCCTTTTTTCCATAATTTTTTTATGTGACACCCACTGTCTTGAGACTTCAAGGTATAAAGAGAAAACAGGAGCATCACACTACCTGATCTCAAAATATGTTACAGAGCTGTAGTAAGCAAAATAGCATGACACTGGCATAAAGAAAGGCACATAGAACAACGGAGCAGAATGAATAACACAGATATATTCCATGCATTTACATCCAATGGTTTTTTATTTTTTCTTTTGAGATGGAGTCTTGCTCTGTCACTCAGGCTGGAGTGCAAAGGTGCAATCTCGGTTCACTGCAACCTCAGCCTCCTGGGTTCAATCATTCTCTTGCCTCAAACTCCTGAGTAGTGGTATTACAGGTGCTGACCACCATGCTCAGCTAATTTTTATATTTTTAGTGGAGATGATGTTTCATCACGTCGGCCAGACTAATCTTGAACTCCTGGCCTCAGGTGATCCACCCACCTCGGGCTCCCAAAGTGCTGAAATTGCAGGTGTTAGCCACCAAGCCCAGCCCATCCAATGGACTTTGACAAAGATGCCAAGAACTCACAATCAGGAAAGGACAGTCTTTTCAATAAACAGTGCAGGGAAACCTGGACATCTACATGCAGAGGAATGAAACTGCACCTCTACCTGTCACCATACACAAAAATCAAATGAAAATGGATTAAAGATGTGAGTCTAAGGCCTGAACCTATGAAACACGTAGAACAAAATATTGGGGAAATGCTCCAGGACATTTGTCTGAAGAAAGACATTTTGTTTTAAACCTTGAAAACACAAGTAATCGAAGCAAAAATAGACCATTGGGATTACCTCATACTAAGCAACTTCTGCACCGCTAAAAATAAACCAACAAAGTGAAGAGACAACCCACAGATTGGGAGCAAATATGTGCAAACTATGCATCTGAGATGGGATTAATAACTAGAAATATAAGAAGCTCAAACAACTCAATAAAACAAATGATTTAATTGAAAAAGGAGCAAAAGACATGAAATTTCCCCACATACGAAAAACTGCTCAGTATCACTCATCATCAGAGAAACGCAAATTAAATTCAAAGTGAGTTTTCATCTCACCCCATTAAAATGGCTTTTAGGCCGGGTGAGGTGGCTCACGTTTGTCATCCTAGAACTTTGAGAGCCTGAGGTGGGTGAATCTCATAAGGTCGGGAGTTTGAGACCAGTATGACCCACATAGAGAAACACTGTCTCTACTAAAAATACAAAAATTAGTCGGGCGTGGTGGCGTGTGCCTGTAATTCCAGCTACTCGGGAGGCTGAGGCAGGAGAATCGCTTGAACCTGGGAGGTGGAGGTTGTGGTGAGCCGAGATCGCGCCACTGCACTCCAGCCTGGGTGAGAAGAGCAAAACTCCATCTCAAAATAAAATGAAATAAAATAAAATGGCTTTTAGCTGCAAGACAGGCAAAAGAAATGCTGGCAAGGTGGTAGAGAAAGGAGAACCCTGGTACCCTGTTGGGAGGAGTGTAAATTAGTACAGCCATTACGGAGAAAAGTATGGAAGTCCTTTAAAGAACTAAAAAGAGGTTGGGTGCGGTGGATCATGCCTGTAATCCCGGCACTTTGGGAGACTGAGGCGGGCACCTCAGTTGAGGTCATGAGTTTGAGAGCAGCCCAGCCAACATGGGGAAACCCCATCTATACTAAAAAAACCAAAAAGTAGCCAGGCATGGTGGTGTGCACCTGTAATCCCAGCTACTAGGGAGGCTGAGGCAGGAAAATCATTTGAACCCAGGAGGCGTAGGTTGCAATGAGCCAAGGTCGCACCACTTTGACTCCAGCTTGGGCTAAGGAGGGAAACTCTTTCTCAAAAAAGAAAAAAAGAAAAAAAGAGAACTTTCATAGTATCCAGCAATTTCACTACTGGGTTTATATCCAAAGGAAAGTAAATCAATATATCGAAGTGATATCTGCACTCGTATGATTGGTGCAGCACTGTTCACAGTAGCCAAGATGAGGAGTCAACCTACCTGCCCATCAGTGGGTAAATGGATAGAGAGAATGTAGTACATACGCATAGTGGAGACTACTCATCCATAGAAAGAATAACATCCTGTCATTTGCAGCCACATGGATGGAACTGGAGGTCATTACAAAGATTCCCATTTCTCACCCATATACAGGAGCTAAAAGGTGGATCTCATGAAGGTAGAGAGTAGAATGGTGGCTACTGGAGGACAGGAAGAAAAGGGTGGAGGGTAAAAAAAATGTATATATATATATATGTATATAAATGTATTTATGACCACTAGACTTTACACTTAAAAATGGTAAATGTGGCTGGGCGCGGTGGCCCATGCCTGTAATCCCAGCACTTTGGGAGGCAGATGCGGGTGGATCACTTGGTCAGGAGTTCGAGACCAGCTCGACCAACATGGTGAAACCACCTCCCTACTAAAAATACAAAAAGTAGCCTGGCGTGGTGGTGCGTGCCTGTAGCACCAGCTACTCAGGTGGCTGAGGCAGGAGAATCGCTTGAACCCAGGAGGTGGAGGTTGCAGTGAGCTGAGATTGTGCCACTGCACTCCAGCATAGGGGACACAGCTAGACTCCACCTCAAAAAAAAATGTTAAAAGTGGTAAGCTATATAGGTATATTTATCCTCAATAAATATTTCTTCAAAGAAAAGTAAAGGGTGTAGGGGTTGCTGGTGATGACATCTCTGTGTGGGTGAGAGGCCAGGATGGGCTTCTGGGAAATGGGTAAGGTTGAGGGGCTGAGGGAACCTCTGATCTCCCCAAACTGAGCCCAGTCTCCCTCCTCTGGGTCTCTCCTGACCGCTTTCTCCATCTGCCTGGGTGCCTGGAGCCCTGGCCGTGGGCCTCCATGCAGGCCATGTAGGAGGGTTTGGAGGTGCCCTGTCGGCCATCCTGTGCCCTGATCCCTCCCTCACACCGAGGCTGCGTCTTCTCTCTGCATCTGTCCATGCTTCTCTCCATCATCAGCAGGAAGCTCCTCAGCTAAGGCTCTAGGATCATAGGACATGGGACAGCCATGGGCTTTCCTCACCTGTGACAGAAACAAGCAGTGGGTCACTTGACTTTGACCACTCGTATGGAGAGTCACGGAAAGAGCCGAAGCATCTGTAGGTCCCTCCATGGGTGGCAGGGCCCAGAGGAAAGTTGGCCTGGAATGTTCCGTTGACCTTGGTCCCTGCAGGGAGCCTACGTTCATGGGCCTCCCCTTCCCTGGATAGATGGTACATGTCATAGGAGCTCCGGGAGCTGCAGGACAAGGTCACATTCTCTCCTGCCAGAACCGTGGGGCCCGGCTGGGCTGAGAGAGAAGGTTTCTCATATAGACCTGGAAGGAGAAGAGGCAGTTTCCTCAGGGAGGATCTTCCTTGTCACAGCTCCCTTCACCTGAGCTGAGAACTCACTCCCCTGCTCTATGACCTAATGCTCTCTCTCTCTCTCTCTCACCCTCTACCCCATCGCTCTTCATGTCTATTTCCTCCTTCCACCTTCTCTGTCTCTTTAGGTCTCTGACCTCACTTCCCCACCTCTAGATATGTTTTCTCTTTTTGGATTGTTTTATTCTCTCTGACTCTCCTTGGATTGGTTGACTTGATGTTACTTTTTTTAATTCTGAGTTTCTCACTTTGTGTCCTGTTCATAACTTTCTGCATATTTCTATCTATTATCTATCGATCTATCTATTTATCTATTCGGTGCCTATCTACAAATTCTCTACCTGTCATCTATATCTATATATCATCTATTTATCCATCAATTGTCTATCTATCCATCAATCATCTATTATCTATATCTATGTATCATCTCTCTCTCTCTATGATTTCTCTATGTCTGCCTCTGTATCTCTATGTATTATCTATCTATCTGTCTTCATCATCATCATCTCTATGTCTCATCTATTAATGAATCAATCAATCATCATCTATGTATCTATAACCTATTATCTATCATCTACCTATTTATCATCTATCTATATCTATCCATCTATCATCTGTCTTGCTCTGCCTCTCGGTCTCTCTAGTTCTCTTTGGAATCTCTGCAATTCATCCCCACATCTCCATCTTTCAATGTCCTTGTGCCTCTCCCTCAGGAGTCTAATTTTAGTGCTTTTCTCTGCTCCCTTCCATCATTCTCACTTCTCTGCCCTCTTTTCTCTTTATGTGTCTGTGAGTCTCTCAATCTCCTTCCTCTGGCTCATTCTCTGTGTGTTTATGTCTTTGCTTTTTGGTGTCCCTGATTTCTCTCTGTGCCTCTCACTGATCCTCTCATAAGTGGGCTTATTTGGAATATGAGCCTCAGAATCCAGTCTGGAGACTACAAGTTCACACAGCATACAGGGGTTGGTGTTGTGGGGCCATGATATCCTGGGACGATTACTCTCCATTACATGGAAGGCAGAGGTGTCAGAATAAACATGGCATCTGTAGGTGCCACAAGGCCTGAGGCCACAGGGCCCAACTCAGGTCAGAAATATGGGTGTCCTTGGGTTCTCCTGGTAGAGAACACTTTGTGGAGGTAAAACAGAAATGAAACTTCTAACCTGTGCCAGGTCTCTGAGCAAAGTCAGCATGGAGGGACACCTCTCTCTGGGACATGTCTGTCTGTGTGTTTCCTTTAACTCTTTCTGTCTTTTCAAACTCCCGGTATGGCCCCTGTGTCTGTTCTCTGTTATGACACCTGGTCTCTACTTGTGTCTCCTGTTTCTCTGTCTCTGTTGGCACAGACCTCACCAAGTCAGTCTCTCTCCATAAGAATACCAAGCTCATCTTCCTTACAGCCACCTGGGCCTCCAAGTCCTGGATCATTCACTCTGCATCCCAATGACAATGAGAAGAAAGTCTGGACACTCTCACCTATGATCACGATGTCCAGAGGGTCACTGGGAGCTGACAACTGATAGGGGGAGTGAGTAACAGAACCGTAGCATCTGTAGGTCCCTGCCAGGTCTTGCTTCATGCGACTGATGGAGAAGTTGGCCTTGGAGACCCCATCATGGTGTTCTCCAATGAGGCGCAAAGTGTCGTTAAACATCCCCTCTCTGTGCAGAAGGAAGTGTTCAAACATGACATCTGACCAACATTGCAGGATGACTGTCTCTTCTGATTTCACCAGGCGACCTGGGTGGGCCAGGAGGGAAGGTTTTCTGTGGACTCCTAGGAAGAGAGGTTGTGAGTTTAGAAGGTGTCTCTCTTTATCATCCCATCCATGGCACCTGGATTGAGTCAGGCTTCCCCTTCCTGGTGTCTTATCTCTCTCCTTCCTCTCTGTGTCTTCATGTTCTTTTCTGTGCCCATAACTCCTGGTGCAGGTCCTTCCATCTGTCTCCCTCACTCTTCTCTGTCCCTCTGTCTCTAGTAGCCTCTGATTCCCTTGCCGCTGGGCTCAGCCTCATCTCTTGGGCTGTTGTATCTATTTCGAACTAATGTCTTTCCTGCTGTCTGTGTGGGGGTGGAAGAGGAACCAGGATAGGCTGCACATCCAGGCTCTTAGCAGCCTGGTTCAATCTCTTTTGGACGAATTGGAATCCTTGGCAGGAGGTATGAACTGATCAGTAAGGCAGGCACCAGTGGCCACACACCCTGTTCCTGGTAGGGACTGGGAGACACTCTTGCCATGCCAGTGCCAGCTTCCATAGCCTGGCTCCTGGTGCTGGTTGGAGGAGTATCAACCGCTCCCTATGTGGATGGAGCCTGGTGGTGGCATCATCATCCGAGCCTTGCTGATCTCAGTGTAGCCAACCTTCTCCTTGTTTGGTTTCTTTAATTAATTAATTAATTTTGGCGACAGAGTCTCACTCCTTTGCCCAGGCTGGAGTGAAGTGGTGTGGTCTAGGCTTACTGCAACCTCTGTCTCCTGGGTTCAAGTGATTCTCCTGCCCTCAGCCTCCCAAGTCGCTAGGATTACATGCACCTGCCACCATGCCTGGCTATCCTTGTGTTGTTTCTTAACTTGTCCTTGACCTGGGTTCCAGTGTTGGTTTCCTGTTGCTGCTGTAGAAAATTATCAGAAGCATGGCAGCAGGAGAGAGCACACTAACCCCTTCCAATTCTGGAGACAGAAATCGGACCCTGTTTGTCGTGGGTAAAATCAAGGTACCTGCAGGGCTTCGTTCCCTCTGGAGACTCAGGAGAATCAGTTCCTTGACTTTTCCAGCCTCTATAGGCCACCTGCATTCATGGCTCCTGGACTTCCTCCACCTTCAAAGCTGATGGAGACTCCCATTATGCTGCTGTAATCCCCACTCCCCTCTTCCTCCTCCTTTCCTGTGGACCCCTGTGACTACACTGAGCCCATCAGGACAGTCCAGGTTGTCTCCCCATCTCAAGGTCAACTCATCAACAACCTGAGCTCCATCTTCTCCTTCAGTCCCTTCCCCTATATCATAAATAGTCACAGACTCCAGGGATTAGAATGTAGTCATCACTGGGGACAATTATTCTTCCCACCACAGCACCCATTTCCCTGTATTCAATCCCCCTTTACCCCAAATACAGTCAGGACTTGCATGATGGGACCCGCAAGGACACGCCCACCAGGAGCTCTGGGATTCAGGAGGTGGGACAAGGAGAATCCCAGACAGGAGCCCTCTGACCTGTGACCGTGATCTCCAGGGGGTTGCTGGGTGCCGACCACCCACTGGGGTAGTGTGGTTGTGAACCCCGACATGTATAGGTCCCTGCGTGTGCTGGGGTCACAGGGCCCATGAAAAGGCTGTTCCAGAATATTATGTTGTAGAGCTCAGGGACAGGCACCCCATCTTCCTTTTACAGACTGAAGTTGTTAAACCCAAGATAAGAATGACACTGAAGAATCACATATCCTGGAGGCACCACAGGGCTTGGCCAGGCAGACAGCAAGGGCTTGTCCTGACCACCGTGGGGAGAAGGAGGCACCGCCTTAGAGAGGAGGATGTGGAGCCGCCCCTCCCTCCCTGTGCTCTGAAGATTCTCCTCGCTTTCCAAGTTTCTATGGCTGCTATCACACCTTGGTGCCCAGGGCTAAAGGAAGAACCCATCCCGCAAACACAAGGTGTCTCCCTACAACAAAAGTGTCAGCTGAGAACTTTGAGCAAGTGCTGAGTAAGAGACTCCTACTAGATTTTAATACTGTAAGATTACTCACATAAAACAACACAGGGTAGACATGGGGTGGAGGGCATGTCCTTTGAGAATGGAATATCAGCCGATGCCTGAACGAAAATAAACAACTGAGTCCCCATCAGAGGATTGGAATGTCAGGGCCATGGCTGTGGTTTTCCCACCTCTTCTGGTAGAATGACAGCAGCCACACTGCAGCCCCTACCGTCATGGAAACGCTGAAGTGTGTGAGTAACACCTTTGTCCTCAGAGGATCTGCTGTTCCTACCACTTCCCCACCACACACCCCAGCTTTGAGCACCGTAGTCTAACCCTGGTCCCCACAGAACTTGACTCTGCCAAGGGAATGAAAGGCCAGGGAGGCAAGGTCAGAAATGTGGGCCCAGCACCCCAGGGTCCCTTCTTCCTAGTTTATGAGAGACTCCCTGACAGGACTTCCCTCCCATTTCAGGAAAATCCTCTTATGTGGGGAGATGACACCCGAAGGTTTGGAGAAGGACTCACCCTCATGTGGCCAGGCCCCCTGCAGCAAGAAGAACCCTGGAAAGAAAGATCATGATGGATGACCCATCTGCAGGCAAACCAGGGCACCCTTGCTGCCCCCACTGGGCTGTGAGTCTTGGTAGCCAGGCCCTTCCTGGGCTGAAGGTAAACTCACCCTCAGTGCCTACCTGCACCCAAGAACAGGGCTGTCGGCTGTGCAGAGACCCAGCCTCCAGGTCCATATCCCCACCTCAAGCCCATATCTCCACTCCAGGCCCATATCTCCACTCCAGGCCGATATTTCCACCCTAAGCCCATATCGCCAATCCAGGCCCATATCTCCAATCCAGGCTCAGATCTCCACCCTGGGCCCATATCTCCAATCCAGGCCCTTATCTCCACTCCAGGTCCATATCTCCTCTCCAGTCCCATATCTCCACTCCAGGCCCATATATCCTCTCCAGTCCCATATCTCCACACCCAGGCCCGTATCTCCATCCTAGGCACATATCTCCTCTCCAGGCCCAGATATCGACCTCTAGGCCCATATCTCCACTCCTGGCCCATATCTCCACTCCAGGCCCAGATATCGACCTCTAGGCCCATATCTCCACTCCTGGCCCATATCTCCACTCCAGGCCCATGTCTCCACTTCAGGCCCATATCTCTACTGCAGGCCCGTAACTCCACCTCCAGGCCCATGACTCCACTCCAGGCCCATATCTCCACCTCCAGGCCCATATCTCCCCTCCAGGTTCCTATCTCCCCTCCAGGTTCCTATCTCCACTCCAGGCCCAGATCTCCACTACAGTCCCATCACTCCACCTCCAGGCCTATATCTCGACCTCTGGGCCCAGATCTCCACTTCTAGGCCCATCACTCCATCTCTAGGCCCATATATCCACTCCAGGCCCAGATCTCCACTCCAGGCCCACAACTCCACCTCCAGGCCTATATATCCACCTCTGGGCCCAGATCTCCAACCCCACACTCCCTTCCTCTATTCCCTTCCAGGACTCACCAACACACGCCATGCTGACGACCGTGAGCGACATGGTGCTGCCGGTGCAGACAGGCGGCCGCGCCCCAGCTCAGCTCAGCAGCGCACAGGATGTTATTTGGCGCCCTGCCCATGCAGTTTACATGTTGACCACATCATGGGAGGGTGACGTACGCAGGCTCTTTCTACCTTGCATGAGGCCCAGTGGTTGCTCGCTCAAGAGCGGAACACGGCTTCCTGGAAATTGTTCTCACTAGAATTTACACCTAGCGTCCTTCACTATGACCAACTCAAAACACGTCTCAGATCCAACCTCCTGAACACGAGATGCCTAAAATCTGTGCTAACGTGAAAGACTTTTCATGTATTTTTATTGTTTTTATCTGAGATTCAAACTCTTCTTCCTGTGTAATATGCAAAATATCTAATAGGTATTATTAAGGTTTTCAGAGTCATTGTGACTAATAAACCATTAGAATTTTTCATGCTTGTATTTCTAGTATTACAGCAGAACCAGTTAAAATGATTTAAATTCCCAGGGAAGGATTATGCAATTATTTACAATCTTTGAATTGTACGTTATCAGCAAAAACCACACATTTAAACTCTGGATTTTTGTAGATTTATCTAAAATTTGTCTCATGACCCAAGTTTCCAGAGTCCCAACTCTGGAGTTTGCTCTCTCTCTGTCTCTCTCCCTCCCTCATTTTAAATTTTACAGAAATATCCAGTAACATAATGCTATAGAAAATCAAGTTTCCCCCAGCACGTCGGGAAGCCGAGGTGGGCGGATCAACTGATATAAGGAGTTTGAGAGCAGCCTGGCAACACAGTGAAACCGTGTCTCTGCTAAAAATCCAAAAATTAGCCGTGCCCAGTGGCAGGAACTTGTAACACCAGCTACCCAAGAGGCTGAGGCACGAGAATCGCTTGAACCTGGGAGGCGGAGGTTGCAGTGAGCTGAGATTGCACCACTGCAGTCCAGCCTGGGCGACAGAGCAAGACTCCGCCTCAAGAAAATAAAAATAGCAAATAGCCTATAATAACAAATTAGAGGCCTCTGGCTACTAAATTTAAAGGGTTCTATGGGGCTACATAAAGTGGAGCATCCTCAAGAATGTGGACACAGAGAGCCGTTTAGCAGAGACAGTGTCTAAAATACACATCCGTGTACACACAGTCCCTTTTTAGTTGACAAAGGCTGCCGTGTGGTTTAAGGTGGCATAGAATGTCTTCTCAATAAATAATATTAAACCAAAGGGTTACACATAGGAAATAATAAATCTAAACTTATTCTCACACTATAAAAACACTTCTTAGTTTTTATCTAGTTATTGTACATTTTTTATGATTTATATTTAAATTTGAGAAATAAAAGTCCTATACCGTCATCCTTCACTATTCATGGGTGATTGGTTTCAGGATCTCCACTCAGATACTAAAATCTGCAGATGCTCAAGCCTCTTACATAAAATGACACAGCATTTGGATATAACCCATGCACATCCTCCTGTATACATGAAATCATCTCTTGATTACTTATAATTCCTGATACAGCCTATACACCACCTCATTTGTGTGCATTCAACACAGTTTTGCTTTTTGGAACTTTGTGGGCTTTTTCTCTGAATATTTTTGATTTATACTTGGTTCAATAAACACCTGTAAACCCCACAGATACGGAGGAGCGACTGTATATTTATAGTATGAAAGATGATGCGTTGACATGTGTCCCCGTGGAGATGAGACTAACAAGGCCTATGACTCTACAAATGTTTCATCATGGAATGACTCTGCCAGCTTTCCAGGTCTGCAGAGAGTAAGAATATCACTTGTTCATGTGATTCACGATCCTTGGAACTTCCTATGTGCTGCATCTTTGGATGGAAATTGGAGTCTCAGAGACAAGTCAGGGTCCACCCTGTTCCAGAAGCTCAGAGTCCAGGGGTGAGAACCCAGTGGAGAACAGATGGGGTTATGTGGACATGGTAATGATAACACCAGAAGCCTTAGGCAAGAAAAGAGTCCCATTACCGAAACCATGAGGGCAGACATGTTTATTTGAAGGAGGGAAAACTACATTGAAATTACTAAAAACAATTTATAAGTTTTACTGCTGACAGAAGGCTGAAAGATAGTCTGAGGGGAGGTGGAACTGCATGAGAGAAGGTGGAACAGCACGTGTCTAAGTGCTGTGTTAAGAGGGAGCCTCTTGTATGTTTGGAATTGTGAGTTCCTCAGTGTGATTGCAGCCTCAAGTAGACTAGGAAGTAAGCCAGTTAGGTTGGAGAGGTGGGCAGGGGTCAAGTGAAATGGAGAATTGTGGGCTAAGCAAAGGAGTGTGTTTTCTCTCCAGCAGGCAGTGGGGACCTTAGACATTTGTAAGCAAGAGAGAGGCATGTTCAGATTCGTGGTTTGAGGAAGAGCGATCCCCTAAGATGAAGACTGATGCCTTCAGATTCCAGCTGCTGGTACATGGGAGCTGGCAACCCGGTTTTGAGACAGGGCTGTTGTCTCCCTAGAAGATCCCCTCAAGGCCTGACTGTGGTGCTCGTGGACAGAAGACAGCTTTGGATCTGGACTCAGCATTTGGAAGTTCTATGTACATGCTGGTATCTGTTGGGGGTGTCTTGGGCCTCTGAGAAGGGGGAGTGATTTTTCTCTGTGTGAAAACACAGTGATCCAATTATGCGTATGACACCTCCTGATGGTCCTGTTCATCAGAATCCTGGAGAGAGGGAAATGCTGAGTGAGGGAGGGTGCTCACATTTTTCAGGACTCTTTGGGAATAAGACTAGCCACGAGGCTGGGCCGAGGAGCACCTACCTCCCTGTTCACTGTTCTGTTCCCCGCAGGCCCTTGGTCCATTACAGATGCATCTGTAGAAGATGGAAGTCAACAAAACAGCTCGGAGGGCACTTCTGGGTCCTCATTTCATAAGCAGATACCAACAAACAGGGGGAGGCCATAGGTGCCTGAGGTCCCTCAGTTGCCAACAGCAGACTCAGACATTCTATCTCTCTGAGCTCAAGGACCCATCCCATGAATAGCTCTGAGTTCCCATCCCATTGATTCTATCTCCCACTTTCTGCCTGTCATGGAACCTTCTCCTGGATGTGAGTGGCTGCAGGGGACGTGAGGGTACAGTTCAGAATCAGGCAATGGTCTGTGAGCTGAAGGCAGGGGAAGGGAATCTGGTGCTCTCTCTAGAAAGTCCTGCCTCTGTGGCTCCTGCCTTGGGCCAGGGACCATCCTGCCTGTGAGGAACACACACCCGCGTGCTACCATCCTGCTTCCCCACATGGCCCTGAGCTCTCTGGCCTCTGCTTCGTGAGACTTACTTTTTTTGTTGGAGCACCAGCGATGAAGGAGAAAGAAGAGGAGGATGGTGAAAGGGAGTTTGACCACTGAGGTCCCAATCAGAACGTGTAGGTGTCTGGGGTTACCTGGAAGAAGAGGAGACACCAATAAGAAGCTAATCATAGCAGTTCCTCTTTATGAATTGTCTCGCATTTCTTGATTGACAGGTAACCACATACAACGTCTCTTTAGGACAAGCACCCAAATGGTGGGAGACCTAGCTTTCCCCTGCTTTCTCAATTATAGCTCTCATAGTAACCATAGAACGTGCTGAGGATACAACTACTTTAGTTGAGATGTCTGACCCCTTCAAACCTCACATGGAAATTTCACCCCCACTGTGGGAGGTTGGGCCTCTTGGGAGGTGTTTGGGTCATGGAGGTGGATCCATCATGAACAGAACAATGCTGTCCCAAGGAGACGGGGTTAGCAAGTTCCCCCTCTATTAGTTCCCGGAGAGCTGGTTGTTCAAAAGAGCTTGGAAGCTCCATCGCTCCCCCTCCCCCTTACTCTCTCTCTTGCCGTGTGATCTCTGCGGTCTCTGCACAGACAGACCCTCCTTCCCTTCTGCCAGAGTGGGAGCAGCCTGAGGCCGTCACAAGAAATAGATTCTGGTGCCATGCTTCCAGTACAGCCTGCAGAACGGTGAGGCAAACCGATCTCTTTTCTTTAGAAGTTACCGAGGCTCAAGTTTTCCTTTAGAGCAACAAAAAAAAACTACGACAGCAACGTCCTGAGATCAGGAGGAATGTCTCAGAACAGCCTGGGCTGTCTTCCTGTTCTTCCTGGAGGAAGGCGTCATGCAGTGCTTTAGCTGAGTGCTTCCTGTGGCTCCAGGGTACAAAACCCAGGCTGGGCTGCTTTCTGGCTTCCCCCAGCTACACTGCAAATGGGGTGACTCCATATGTCCCGAGCAGCTTTTCTGAGCCTTGAGGGACTGGCTCACATTGAAATGTAGGCTTCTGTTGTCACTCGCTGCTTATCTGTTAGTAATGAACCTGCCTGTGTAATGTATTCTCTGTGTGTTCTGTCTTCCTGGAGTGACGGTGAGTGATAGGAATTGGCATAGGCCCAGGTGCAGTCCAGGAGGTGTTTAGAGTCTTCTCTGGGAAGACTGCACTGGGATTGATACACAGCGAATGTGCTTTAGGATTTATACATCCACGGCATTCTTGAGTCAAACAACTTGCATTCTCCAAGAAAAGGAAACAAAAGTGAAATCAAGATAAAAAAAGCGAAGTAGAATTCTCTTATGTCAAATGGCCAGGAAATAGTGTTGAAGCCCATGTGAAACGTGCTACTCTTTGTGATCTCAGGAGACACATGTTAGGCTGCTGTTCTACCCCAGAGGCTGGGGGAAGGACCACACCCTCGGCCATCTATTGCTTCAATACCACCTGTCCTCCTGTGAATTAGTAGGAAAGGGGAGCAGGAGCTAGTGCTGACGCTGATCTCTGATTCCAAGATCTGGACTCACTCCAAGGAGTATTAGAATTTACCTCCCCATGGCCTATCTGAATCTCCACAGATGATTGGAAGTAGGGGTGAGGTGGGGGATTTGGGTGAGAGGGCATGTTTTTTTTGTGATGAACAGAGCACTTTGTGTATTCCAGGATCTGTGCTGGAGGATTCAGCGGGCTTTCACATTTTCTATATGATCTCATGCTCACAGAAAGCCAAATAGGGAAGAGGTTTTAGGCTCATTGCCTAATGGATAAGATAAAGGATCAAAGAAGTAATTATAGAGAAATAGAAAAATCATGATTGGAATTCAGGTCCCTTTGTCATTTGCGTGTGTTATATTATATTTATATTTATGCATTTCTTATTTTTATTTTTTGAGACGGAGTCTCCTTGTGTCACCCAGGCTGGAGTGCAGTGATGCAATCTCCACTCACTGCAAACTCCACCTCCTGGGTTGAAGTCATTCTCCTGCTTCATCCTCCAGAGTAGGAGCTGGCATTACAGGGATGCACCACCATGTTCGGCTAATTTTTGTGTTTTTCCTAGAGACAGGGTTTCACCATGTTGGCCAGGCTGGTCTCGAACTGCTGACTTCGTGTGATCCACCCGCCTTGGCCTCCTGCAGTGCTGGGTTACAGGCGTGAGCCACCGTTCACAGACTTGTATATTATGCTGTAATAGGTCCCTTCATTTCCACCACCCCTCATATATCTGTCACTCCTTTGCCAGGTATTGATTTATGTGTAGTAGGAATAAAGCTCAGAAAGAAATTAAGCGAGGATTAGACAACTAGGAAAATCATACCCAGCAAGCCTTTCCAGCCAATGATTCCACCTCACAAGCATATCTTATATCCATCTGCTTCACCCAGTTAGGGTCTAAATCAGCACCACATTTCACCAGTGAGGCGGGAATTGCCTTTTCCACGGTCTCCTAGATTCCAGTTACGCACCTGGGCCTCCCTTATTTTCATGTCAGTCACTATTAATCATGTAGGGATTCCTGGCTACCCCGAGGTGAATCCAATGGCTGTGAGTGTCAAACACACACTCCTTGTTGCTCCTTAGTTTCCTGTGTACCCAGTGTGCTCTCCGTCTCTCCACAGTCGTCTTGTCATTCTCCCCATCTCATTCCCAGCATTTGAGGCAGAGCCTCTTCCTTCCACATCAGATTGTTTTCAGCTTTCTGCCTTCACGGCTGACAGCTGTGTGTGGAAAATCCTTCCGCCAATCTTTCAGGGGTTCAATCCGTGTTTTTCATTAATGTCACAAATATCTGATTAGTGAGATCTTCTCTGTCACCCAAAATCATACACTCAGCATTATGTATTATTTATTTTAAATTCTGGCTGGGCACAGTGGCTCACGCCAGTTATCCCAGTACTTTAGGATGCTGAGACGGTCGGATCACTTGAGGTTGGGAGTTTCAGAGAAGCTTGGCGAAGATGGTGAAACATCCTCTACAAAAAATATACAAAAAGAATTAGCCGGGCATGGTGGCAGTTGCCTGTAATCCCAGCTACTCGAGAGGCTGACGCAGGAGAATCACTTGGATCCAGAAGGTGCAGGTTGCAGTGAGCCAAGATGGTGACACTGCACTGTAGCCTGGAAGACGGAGGGAGACTCTGTCTCAATAAACAAACGAAGAAACAAACAAATAGATTTCATACACAGATGCTTCCCAATGGATCATTCATTTATTGGTCCACTTGTGCATTCATTTTCTGCCCTCCCATTTAACCATCTGCAATATCAGTGTCCCAAGGGCAGAGGCCAAATGCATCTTGTTCACTGTTTGTGGAAGGTAGGAGAATGCTGTCCCACCCCAAAATGTCCCTGTCCTAGCCTCCATAGCTTGTGAATATCTTATTTTACATGGAAAGGAGGAATGAAGATTGCAGATGGAATTATGGTTGCTAATCAGCTGAACTTAAAACAAGGGTATCCTGAATGATTTCCTGGAGATTATGATGGATTTTCATCTTGGTGAACCCAATAGAATCCCCAAGTTTTCAAAAGATGAGGAAGAAGGGAGAGCAGCATTCAGATAAAGAGGTGTGGTAAGGAAGAAGGGTCTGAGTGATGCCACGTGAGATGTGACCAGCCTTTGTGGGCTTTGAGGAAGGAGGAAGGGGACCAGGAGCGAAGGAATGTGGGAGCCTCTAGAAGCTGGGACAAGTGAGAAGCAGATTCTTGCCTGGAACCCTCAGAGGGAAGGCAGCCTTGCTGTCGCCTTGATTTTAGCCCAGTGAGATGCACTTCATACTTTGAGCTAGAGCACTGTAAGATAATTAAAAAACCGTTTTGTTTTCACCCACGAATCTTGTGGAAATTTGTTATGGCAACAATAGGAAAAGCTTCCACACTGCACAGCCTGAGCATGGGGCCGTGGCTGAATGAGTCAGTGAGTCGAAGTGTGCGTGCATGAGCTCTGTTCTCTGTTACGGCAAGGCGCTTTCTCTGCGGAGTCAGCCAGGGTTGCTTCATGACCTACAGGAGCTCATTCCTTGGCAAGTGGAACTTCTCTAAAACACCTCGCCCTCATCAGATGTTCCCTTCCCTTCCCTCTCTCAAGTCTCCAGGAATTTATCCTCCAGTTAGGAATGCAGGCAGAACAAACATTGCATTTTTCCTGAGAAGGATGTCAGATTGGCAATCATTCTTCTAGCTTGTAGGAGGTCTCAGCTCCATAAAATGAGGGATGAAGAGATTTCACTGAGCCCTGTGTTGGGCCCAGATCCCTTTCGCTGTTGGAGTATCTGGAGTTCGGAGATGGTGGAAGACAGGGGTACAATGTCAGAGCTGTGAGATGCTGAGTCAACGCCTGAATCCAAGGTTTCCACCTCCCCAGGTTTCCAAAAGCGGATATAAGAGGGTTCTGTACTCACCGGTTTCGGAGCTTGGTTCAGTGGGTGAAGGCCAACTATTTGAAGAGTTTCCTAGAACACGAGACAGGAGAGAGGTGAGGAAATGAGGGTGTCTGTCCTCTACTCAGTGGAAATCTTTGAGGATGGTTCATGGCCAACACTCTGTTATCTAATATTGGGCCCTGGGAGTCCTGGGATCCTTTTTTCCATAATTTTTTTATGTGACACCCACTGTCTTGAGACTTCAAGGTATAAAGAGAAAACAGGAGCATCACACTACCTGATCTCAAAATATGTTACAGAGCTGTAGTAAGCAAAACAGCATGACATTGGCATAAAGAAAGGCACATAGAACAATGGAGCAGAATGAATAACACAGATATATTCCATGCATTTACATCCAATGGTTTTTATTTTTTCTTTTGAGATGGAGTCTTGCTCTGTCACTCAGGCTGGAGTGCAGAGGTGCAATCTCAGTTCACTGCAACCTCAGCCTCCTGGGTTCAATCATTCTCTTGCCTCAAACTCCTGAGTAGTGGTATTACAGGTGCTGACCACCATGCTCAGCTAATTTTTATATTTTTAGTGGAGACGATGTTTCATCACGTCGTCCAGACTGATCTTGAACTCCTGGCCTCAGGTAATCCACCCGCCTCGGCCTCCCAAAGTGCTGAAATTGCAGGTGTTAGCTACCAAGCCCAGCCCATCCAATGGACTTTGACAAAGGTGCCAAGAACTCACAATCAGGAAAGGACAGTCTTTTCAATAAACAGTGCAGGGAAACCTGGACATCGACATGCAGAGGAATGAAACTGCACCTCTACCTGTCACCATACACAAAAATCAAATGAAAATGGATTAAAGATGTGAGTCTAAGGCCTGAACCTATGAAACACGTAGAACAAAATATTGGGGAAATGCTCCAGGACATTTGTCTGAAGAAAGACATTTTGTTTTAAACCTTGAAAACACAAGTAATCGAAGCAAAAATAGACCATTGGGATTACCTCAAACTAAGCAACTTCTGCACTGCTAAAAATAAACCAACAAAGTGAAGAGACAACCCACAGATTGGGAGCAAATATGTGCAAACTATGCATCTGAGATGGGATTAATAACTAGAAATATAAGAAGCTCAAACAACTCAATAAAACAAATGATTTAATTGAAAAAGGAGCAAAAGACATGAAATTTCCCCACATACGAAAAACTGCTCAGTATCACTCATCATCAGAGAAACGCAAATTAAAATCAAAGTGAGTTTTCATCTCACTCCATTAAAATGGCTTTTAGGCCGGGCGAGGTGGCTCACGTCTGTCATCCTAGAATTTTGAGAGCCTGAGGTGGGTGAATCTCATAAGGTCGGGAGTTTGAGACCAGTATGACCCACATAGAGAAACGCTGTCTCTACTAAAAATACAAAAATTAGTAGGGCGTGGTGGCGTGTGCCTGTAATTCCAGCTACTCGGGAGGCTGAGGCAGGAGAATCGCTTGAACCTGGGAGGTGGAGGTTGCGGTGAGCCGAGATCGCACCACTGCACTCAGCCTGGGTGACAAGAGCGAAACTCCACCTCAAAATAAAATGAAATAAAATAAAATGGCTTTTAGCTGCAAGACAGGCAAAAGAAATGCTGGCAAGGTGGTAGAGAAAGGAGAACCCTGGTACCCTGTTGGGAGGAGTGTAAATTAGTACAGCGATTACGGAGAAAAGTATGGAAGTCCTTTAAAGAACTAAAAAGAGGTTGGGTGTGGTGGATCAGGCCTGTAATCCCGGCACTTTGGGAGACTGAGGCGGGCACCTCAGTTGAGGTCATGAGTTTGAGAGCAGCCCAGCCAACATGGGGAAACCGCATCTATACTAAAAAAACCAAAAAGTAGCCAGGCATGGTGGCGTGCACCTGTAATCCCAGCTACTAGGGAGGCTGAGGCAGGAAAATCATTGGAACCCAGGAGGCGGAGGTTGCAATGAGCCAAGGTCGCACCACTTTGACTCCAGCTTGGGCTAAGGAGGGAAACTCTTTCTCAAAAAAGAAAAAAAAAAAAAAAGAGAACTTTCATAGTATCCAGCAATTTCACTACTGGGTTTATATCCAAAGGAAAGTAAATCAATATATCGAAGTGATATCTGCACTCGTATGATTGGTGCAGCACTGTTCACAGTAGCCAAGATGAGGAGTCAACCTACCTGCCCATCAGTGGGTGAATGGATAGAGAGAATGTAGTACATACGCACAGTGGAGACTACTCATCCATAGAAAGAATAACATCCTGTCATTTGCAGCCACATGGATGGAACTGGAGGTCATTACAAAGATTCCCATTTCTCACCCATATACAGGAGCTAAAAGGTGGATCTCATGAAGGTAGAGAGTAGAATGGTGGCTACTGGAGGACAGGAAGAAAAGGGTGGAGGGTAAAAAAAATGTATATATATATATATATAAATGTATTTATGACCACTAGACTTTACACTTAAAAATGGTAAATGTGGCTGGGTGCGGTGGCCCATGCCTGTAATCCCAGCACTTTGGGAGGCTGATGCGGGTGGATCATGTGGTCAGGAGTTCGAGACCAGCTCGACCAACATGGTGAAACCACCTCTCTACTAAAAATACAAAAAGTAGCCTGGCATGGTGGTGCGTGCCTGTAGCACCAGCTACTCAGGTGGCTGAGGCAGGAGAATCGCTTGAACCCAGGAGGCGGAGGTTGCAGTGAGCTGAGATTGTGCCACTGCACTCCAGCATAGGGGACAGAGCTAGACTCCACCTCAAAAAAAAATGTTAAAGGTGGTAAGCTATATAGGTATATTTATCCTCAATAAATATTTCTTCAAAGAAAAGTAAAGGGTGTAGGGATTGCTGGTGATGACATCTCTGTGTGGGTGAGAGGCCAGGATGGGCTTCTGGGAAATGGGTAATGTTGAGGGGCTGAGGGAACCTCTGATCTCCCCAAACTGAGCCCAGTCTCCCTCCTCTGGGTCTCTCCTGACCGCTTTCTCCATCTGCCTGGGTGCCTGGAGCCCTGGCCGCGGGCCTCCATGCAGGCCATGTAGGAGGGTTTGGAGGTGCCCTGTCTGCCATCCTGTGCCCTGATCCCTCCCTCACACCGAGGCTGCGTCTTCTCTCTGCATCTGTCCATGCTTCTCTCCATCCTCAGCAGGAAGCTCCTCAGCTAAGGCTCTAGGATCATAGGACATGGGACAGCCATGGGCTTTCCTCACCTGTGACAGAAACAAGCAGTGGGTCACTTGACTTTGACCACTCGTATGGAGAGTCACGGAAAGAGCCGAAGCATCTGTAGGTCCCTCCGTGGGTGGCAGGGTCCAGAGGAAAGTCGGCCTGGAATGTTCTGTTGACCTTGGGCCCTGCAGGGAGCCTACGTTCATGGGCCTCCCCTTCCCTGGATAGATGGTACATGTCATAGGAGCTCCGGGAGCTGCAGGACAAGGTCACGCTCTCTCCTGCCAGAACCGTGGGGCCCGGCTGGGCTGAGAGAGAAGGTTTCTCATATAGACCTGGAAGGAGAAGAGGCATTTTCCTCAGGGAGGATCTTCCTTGTCACAGCTCCCTTCACCTGAGCTGAGAACTCACTCCCCTGCTCTGTGACCTAATGCTCTCTCTCTCTCTCTCTCACCCTCCACCCCATCTCTCTTCACGTCTATTTCCTCCTTCCACCTTCTCTGTCTCTCTAGGTCTCTGACCTCACTTCCCCACCTCTAGATATGTTTTCTCTTTTTGGATTGTTTTATTCTCTCTGACTCTCCTTGGATTGGTTCACTTGATGTTACTTTTTTTAATTCTGAGTTTCTCACTTTGTGTCCTGTTCATAACTTTCTGCATATTTCTATCTATTATCTATCGATCTATCTATTTATCTATTCCGTGCCTATCTACAAATTCTCTACCTGTCATCTATATCTATATATCATCTATTTATCTATCAATTTTCTATCTATCCATCAATCATCTATTATCTATATCTGTGTATCATCTCTCTCTCTCTATGATTTCTCTATGTCTGCCTCTCTATCTCTATGTATTATCTATCTGTCTTCATCATCATCATCTCTATGTCTCATCTATTAATGAATCAATCAATCATCATCTATGTATCTATAACCTATTATCTATCATCTACCTATTTATCATCTATCTATATCTATCCATCTATCATCTGTCTTGCTCTGCCTCTCGGTCTCTCTAGTTCTCTTTGGAATCTCTGCAATTCATCCCCACATCTCCATCTTTCTATGTCCTTGTGCCTCTCCCTCATGACTCTAATTTTAGTGCTTTTCTCTGCTCCCTTCCATCATTCTCACCACTCCTCTGCCCTCTTTTCTCTCTCTTTATGTGTCTGTGAGTCTCTCAATCTCCTTCCTCTGGCTCATTCTCTGTGTGTTTATGTCTTTGCTTTTTGGTGTTCCTGATTTTTCTCTGTGCCTCTCAGTGATCCTTTCATATGTGGGGTTATTTGGAATGTGAGCCTCAGAATCCAGTCTGGAGACTACAAGTTCACACAGCATACAGGGGTTGGTGTTCTGGGGCCATGATATCCTGGGACGATTACTCTCCATTACCTGGAAGGCAGAGGTGTCAGAATAAACATGGCATCTGTAGGTGCCAGAAGGCCTGAGGCCATAGGGCCCAACTCAGGTCAGAAATATGGGTGTCCTTGGGTTCTCCTGGTAGAGAACACTTTGTGGAGGTAAAACAGAAATGAAACTTCTAACATGTGCCAGGTCTCTGAGCAAAGTCAGCATGGAGGGACACCTCTCTCTGGGACATGTCTGTCTGTCTGTCTCCTTTAACTCCTTCTGTCTTTTCTAACTCTCGGAAAGGCCCCTGTGTGTGTCCTCTGTTATGACACCTGGTCTGTACTTGTGTCTCCTGTTTCTCTGTCTCTGTTGGTACAGACCTCACCAAGTCAGTCTCTCTCCATAAGAATACCAAGCTCATCTTCCTTACAACCACCTGGGCCTCCAAGTCCTGGATCATTCACTCTGCATCCCAATGACAATGAGAAGAATGTCTGGACACTCTCACCTGTGATCACGATGTCCAGAGGGTCACTGGGCGCTGACAACTGATAGGGGGAGTGAGTAACAGAACCGTAGCATCTGTAGGTCCCTGCCAGGTCTTGTGTCATGCGACCGATGGAGAAGTTGCCCTTGGAGACCCCATCAATGTGCTCTCCAATGAGGCGCAAAGTGTGGTTAAACGTCCCCTCTCTGTGCAGAAGGAAGTGCTCAAACATGACATCTGACCAACATTGCAGGATGACTGTCTCTTCTGATTTCACCAGGGGACCTGGGTGGGCCAGGAGGGAAGGTTTTCTGCGGAATCCTAGGAAGAGAGTTTGTGAATTTAGAAGGTGTCTCTCTTTATCATCCCATCCATGGCACCTGGATTGAGTGAGGCTTCCCCTCCCTGGTGTCTGTCTCTCTCCTTCCTCTCTGTGTCTTCATGTTCTTTTCTGTGCCCATAACTCCTGGTGCAGGTCCTTCCATCTGTCTCCCTCCCTCTTCTCTGTCCCTCTGTCTCTAGTAACCTCTGATTCCCTTGCCGCTGGGCTCAGCCTCATCTCTTCGGCTGTTGTATCTATTTTGAACTAATGTCTTTCCTGCTGTATATGTGGGGGTGGAAGAGGAACCAGGATAGGCTGCACATCCAGGCTCTTAGCAGCCTGGTTCAATCTCTTTTGGTCGAATTGGAATCCTTGGCAGGAGGTATGAACTGATCAGTAAGGCAGGCACCAGTGTCCACACACCCTGTTCCTGGTGGGGACTGGGAGCCACTCTTGCCATGCCTGTGCCAGCTTCCATAGCCTGGCTCCTGGTGCTGGTTGGAGGAGTATCAACCGCTCCCTATGTGGATGGAGCCTGGTGGTGGCATCATCATCCCTCACTTGCTGATCTTGGTGTAGCCAACCTTCTCCTTGTTTGGTTTCTTTAATTAATTAATTTTGGAGACAGAGTCTCACTCCTTTGCCCAGGCTGGAGTGAAGTGGTGTGGTCTAGGCTCACTGCAACCTCTGTCTCCTGGGTTCAAGTGATTCTCCTGCCCTCAGCCTCCCAAGTCGCTAGGATTACATGCACCTGCCACCACGCCCGGCTATCCTTGTGTCCTTTCTTAACTTTTCCTCGAGCTGGGTTCCGGTGTTGGTTTCCTGTTGCTGCTGTAGAAAATTATCAGCAGCATGGCAGCAGGAGAGAGCACACTGACCCCTTCCATTTCTGGAGGCAGAAGTTGGGCCCTGTTTTTCCTGGGCTAAAATCAAGGCACCTGTAGGGTTTCGTTCCCTCTGGAGACTCAGGAGAATCAGTTCCTTGACTTTTCCAGCCTCTATAGGCCACCTGCATTCATGGCTCCTGGCCTTCCTCCACCTTCAAAGCTGATGGAGACTCCCATTACGCTGCTCTAATCCCCACTCCCCTCTTCCTCCTCCTTTCCTGTGGACACTTGTCATTACACTGAGCCCAGGGGGACAGTCCAGGCCTTCTCCCCATCTCAAGGTCAACTCATCAACAACCTGAGCTCCATCTTCCCCTTCAGTCCCTTCCCCTATAACATAAATAGTCACAGACTCCAGGGATTAGAATGTAGTCATCACTGGGGACAATTATTCTTCCCACCACAGCACCCATTTCCCTGTATTCAATCCCCCTTTACCCCAAATACAGTCAGGGCCTGCGTGAAGGGACCCTCAAGGACATGCCTACCAGAAGCTCTGGGATTCAGGAGGTGGGACAAGGAGAATCCCAGACAGGAGCCCTCTGACCTGTGACCACGATCACCAGGGGGTTGCTGGGTGCCGACCCCCCACTGGGGGAGTGTGTGTGTGAACCCCGGCATCTATAGGTCCCTGTGTGTGACGGGGTCACAGGGCCCATGAAAAGGCTTTTCCAGAATATTCTGTTGTAGAGCTCAGGGACAGGCACCCCATCATCCTTGTACAGACTGAAGTTGTTAAACCCAAGATTAGAGTGACACCGAAGAGTCACATGTTCTGGAGGCACCACAAGGCTGGGCCAGGTAGAAAGCAAGGGCTTGTCCTGACCACCTTGGGGAGAAGGAGGCGCCGCCTTAGAGAGGAGGATGTGGAGCCGCCCCTCCCTCCCTGTGCTCAGAAGATTCTCCCCACTTTCCACATTTCTATGGCTGCTATCACACCTTGGTGCCTAGGGCTAAAGGAAGGACTCATCCCACAAAGACAAGCTGTCTCCCTACAACAAAAGTGTCAGCTGAGAACTTTGAGCAAGTGCTGAGTAAGAGACTCCTACTAGATTTTAATACTGTAAGATTACTCACATAAAACAACACAGGGTAGACATGGGGTGGAGGGCATGTCCTTTGAGAATGGAATATCAGCAGATGCCTGAATGAAAATAAACAACTGAGCCCCCATCAGAGGATTTGGAATGTCAGGGCCATGGCTGTGGTTTCCCACCTCTTCTGGTAGAATGACAGCAGCCACACTGCAGCCCCTACCGTCATGGAAACGCTGAAGTGTGTGAGTAACACCTTTGTCCTCAGAGGATCTGCTGTTCCTACCACTTTCCCACCACACACCCCAGCTTTGAGCACCCTAGTGTAACCCTGGTCCCCACAGAACTTGACTCTGCCAAGGAAATGAAAGGCCAGGGAGGCAAGGTCGGAACTGTGGGCCAAGCACCCCAGGGTCCCCTCTTTCTAGTTTAAGAGAGACTCCCTGACAGGACTTCCCTCCCGTTTCAGGAAAATCCTCTTATGTGGGGAGATGACACCTTAAGGTTTGGAGAAGGACTTACCCTCATGTGGCCAGGCCCCCTGCAGCAAGAAGAACGCTGGAAAGAAAGATCATGATGGACCATCCATCTGCAGGCAAACCAGGCCTTCCTTGCTATCCCCACTAGGCTGTGAGTCTTGGTAGCCAGGCCCTTCCTGGGCCGAAGGGAAACTCACCCTCAGTGCCTACCTGCACCCAAGAACAGGGCTCTCGGCTGTGCAGAGACCCAGCCTCCATTCCCATATCCCTACCCCAAGCCCATATCTCCACTCCAGGCACATATCTCCACTCCAGGCTGATATTCCCACCCTAGGCCCATATAGCCAATCTGGGCCCACATCTCCAATCCAGGCTCAGATCTCCACCCTAGGTCCATAACTCCAGTCCAGGCCCATATCTCCACTCCAGGCCCATATCTCCTCCCCAGGCCCATATCTCCACTCCAGGCCCATATCTCCACCCCGGGCCCAGATCTCCACCTCCAGGCCCATAACTACACTCCAGGATCATATCTCCACTCCAAGCCCATATCTCCACAACAGGCCCATATCTCCACTCCAGTCCCATATCTCCACCCCACGCCCATATCTCCACTCCAGGCCCATATCTCCATTCCAGGCCCATATCTCCACCCCACGTCCATATCTCCACTCCAGGCACATATCTCCACCCCACGCCCATATCTCCACTCCAGTCCCATATCTCCACTCCAGGCCCATATCTCCACCCCACGCCCATATCTCCACTCCAGTCCCATATCTCCACCCCACGCCCATATCTCCACTCCAGTCCCATATCTCCACCCCATGCCCATATCTGCACTCCAGTCCCATATCTCCACCCCACACCCATATCTCCACTTCAGTCCCATATCTCCACTCAAGGCCCATATCTCCACCCCACGCCCATATCTCCACTCCAGGCCCATATCTCCACTCCAGGCCCATATCTCCACCTCCAGGCCCATATCTCCACTCCAGGCCCATATCTCCATCTCCAGGCTCATATCTCCACTCCAGGCCCATATCTCCACTCCAGGCCCTTATCTCCACCTCCAGGCCCATATCTCCACTCCAGACCCACATCTCCACTCCAGGGCCATATCTCCACTCCAGGTCCATATCTGCACCTCCAGGCCCATATCTCCACTCCAGGCCCATATCTCCACCTCCAGGCCCATAACTTCACTCCAGGCCCATAACTCCACTCCAGGCCCATATCTCTACTCCAGTCCCATATCTCCACTCCAGTCCCATATCTCCACCCTAGGCTCCTACCTCCCATCCAGGTTCCTATCTCTTCTCCAGGTTCCTCTCTCCACTCCAGGCCCATATCTCCACTGCAGGCCCATATCTCCACTCCAGACCCAGATCTCCACTTCTAGGCCCATCACTCCATCTCTAGGCCCATATATCCCCTCCAGGCCCAGATCTCCACTCCAGGCCCATAACTCCACCTCCAGGCCTATATCTCCACCTCTGGGCCCAGATCTCCATCCCCGCGCTCCCTCCCTCTATTCCCTTCCAGGACTCACCAACACACGCCATGCTGATGACCATGAGCGACATGGTGCTGCCGGTGCAGACAGGCGGCCGCACCCCTAGCTCAGCTCAGCAGCGCACAGGATGTTATTTGGCGCCCTGCCCATGCAGTTTACATGTTGACCACATCACGGGAGGGTGACGTACGCAGGCTCTTTCTACCTTGCATGAGGCCCAGTGGGTGCTTGCTCAAGAGCGGAACACGGCTTCCTGGAAATTGTTCTCACTAGAATTTACACCTAGCGTCCTTCACTATGACCAACTCAAAACACGTCTCAGATCCAACCTCCTGAACACAAGATGCCTAAAATCTGTGCTAACGTGAAAGACTTTTCATGTATTTTTATTGTTTTTATCTGAGATTCAAACTCTTCTTCCTGTGTAATATGCAAAGTATCTAATAGGTATTATTAATGTTTTCGGAGTCATTGTGACTAATAAACCATTAGAATTTTTCATGCTTGTATTTCTAGTATTACAGCAAAACCAGTTAAAATGATTTAAATTCCCAGGAAAGGATTATGCAATTATTTACAATCTTCGAATTGTACTTTATCAGCAAAAACCACACATGTAAATTCTGGATTTTTATAGTTTTATCTATAATTTGTCTCATGACCCAAGATTCCAGAGTCCCAACTCTGGAGTTTGCTCCCTCTCTGTCTCTGTCCCTCCCTCATTTTAAATTTTACGGAAATATCCAGTAACATAATGCTATAGAAAATCAAGTTTCCCCCAGCATGTTTGGAAGCCGAGGTGGGCGAATCAACTGAGATGAGGAGTTTGAGAGCAGCCTGGCCAACATAGTGAAACCGTGTCTCTGCTAAACATTCAAAAATTAGCCGTGCCTGGTGGCAGACACCTGTAATGCCATCTACTCAAGAGGCTGAGGCACGAGAATCGCTTGAACCTGGGAGGCGGAGTTTGCAGTGAGCTGAGATTGCACTACTACAGTCCAGCCTGGGTGACAGAGCAAGATTCCGCCTTAAGAAAAAAAAAATAGCAAGTAGCCTATAATAACAAATTAGAGGGCTCTGGCTACTAAATTTAAAGGGTTTTATAAGGCTACATGAAGTGCAGCATCCTCAAGAGTGTGGACACAGAGAGCCCCTTAGCAGAAACAGTGTCTAAAATACATCCGTGTACACACAGTCCCTTTAGAGTTGACAAAGGCTGCCCTGTGGTTTAAGGTGGCATAGAATGTCTTCTCAATAAATAATATTAAACCAAAGGGTTACACGTAGGAAAAAATAAATCTAAACTTATTCTCACACTATAAAAACACTTCTTGTTTTTATCTAGTTTATAATTTTTTTATGATTTATATTTAAAATTTAGAAATAACAGTTTTATACGGTCATCCTTCACTATTCCTGGGTGATTGGTTTCAGGATCTCCACTCAGATACCAAAATCTGCAGATGCTGAAGCCTCTTACATGAAATGGCACAGCGCTTGCATATAACCCATGCACATCCTCCTGTATACATGAAATCATCTCTAGATTACTTATAATTCCTGATATGGCCTACACACTGCTTCATTTGTGTCCCTTCAACATAGTTTTGCTTTTTGAAAGTTTGTGGATTTTCTTCTCTGAATATTTTTTATTTATAGTTGGTTCAATAAACACCTGTAAACCCCACAGATACGGAGGAGCGACTGTATATATATATATAGCATGAAAGATGATGTGTTGATATGTGTCCCCATGGAGATGAGACTAACAAGGCCTATGACTCTACAAATGTTTCATCGTGGAATGACTCTGCCAGCTTTCCAGGTCTGCAGAGAGTAAGAATATCACTTGTTCATGTGATTCATGATCCTTGGAACCTCCTATGTGCTGCATCTTTGGATGGAAATTGGAGTCCCAGAGACAAATGAGGCTCCACCCTGCTTCCAGAAGCTCAGAGTCCAGGGGAGAGAACCCAGTGGATAACAGATGGGGTTATGTGGACATGGTAATGATAACAGCGGTTTCTTTCAGCGAATAGTGTCACATTACCTAAAGCAATGAGGGCAGACATGTTTATTTGAAAAGGAGACAGCTACATTGAAATCACAAAAAATTTTATAAGTTTCACTGCTGACTGACAGAAGGCTGGAAAATAGTCTGAGGAAAGGTGAAACAGCATGAGGGAAGGTGGAACAGCACGTGTCTCAGTGCCATGTTAAGAGGGAGCCTCTTGTATGTCTGGAATTGTGAGTTCCTCAGTGTGATTGCAGCCTCAAGTAGACTAGGAAGTAAGCCAGTTCAGTTGGAGAGGTGGGCAGGGGTCAAGTGAAATAGAGAATTGTGGGCTAAGCAAAGGAGTGTGTCTTCTCTCCAGCAGGCAGTGGGGACCTTAGACATTTGTAAGCAAGAGAGAGGCATGTTCAGATTTGTGGTGTGAGGAAGAGCGATCCCCTAAGATGAAGACTGATGCCTTCAGATTCCAGCTGCTGGTACATGGGAGCTAGCAACCCGGTTTTGAGACAGGGCTGTTGTCTCCCTAGAAGATCCCCTCAAGGCCTGACTGTGGTGCTTATGGGCAGGAGACAATGATCTTGGCTTAGCATTTGGAAGTTCCATGTACATGGTGGTATCTGTTGGAGGTGTCTTGGGCCTCTGAGAAGGGGAAGTGATTTTTGTCTGTGTGAAAACGCAGTGATCCAACTGTGCATATGTCACCTCCTGAGGGTCTTGATCATCAGAGTCCTGGAGAGAGGGAAATGCTGAGTGAGGGAGGGTGCTCACATTCTTCAAGACTATTAGGGAATGAGACTCAATCCATGAGGCTGGGCTGAGGAGAACCTACCTCCCTGTTCACTGTTCTGTCCCCGGCAGGCTCTTGGTCCATTACAGCAGCATCTGTAGGAGATAGAAGTCATCAAAACAGCTGGAAGGGCACTTTTGGGTCCTCATTTCATGAGCAGACACCAACACACAGCGGGAGGCCGTAGGTGCCTGAGGTCCCTCAGCTGTCATCAGCCAGACCCAGACATTCTATCTCTCTGAGCTCAAGGACCCATCCCATGAATAGCTCTGAGTTCCCATCCCAGTGATTCTGTCTCCCCTTTCTGCCTGTCATGGAACCTTCTCCTGGATGTCAGTGGCTGCAGGGGACGTGAGGATACAGTTCAGAATCAGGCAATGGTCTGTGAGCTGAAGGCAGGGGCAGGGTGTCTGGTGCTCTCTCTAGAAAGCCCTGCCTCTGTGGCTCCTGCCTTGGTCCAGGGACCATCCTGCCAGTCAGGAACACACACCAGTGTGCTCCCATCCTGCTTCCCCACATGGTCCTGAGCTCTCTGACCTCTGCTTCGTGAGACTTACTCTTTTTGTTGGAGCAGCAGCAATGAAGGAGAAAGAAGAAGAGGATGATGAAGAGGATGATAGCCACTGAGGTCCCAATCAGAATGTGCAGGTGTCTGCGGATACCTGGGGGAAGGTGGGAATCCAATAAGAAGCTAATTATAGCAGTTCCTCTTTATGGATTGTCTCTCATTTCTTGGTTGCCAGCTAAGCACATACAACATCTGTTTAGGACAAGTTCCCCGATGGCAGGATACCCAGCTTTCTCCTGCTTTCTCAGTTATAGTTCTCAAAATAATCAGAGAACATGCTGGGGATACCACTGCTATAGTTTGGATGTTTGACCCCGCCAAACCTCACGTTGACACTTATCTCGCAGTGTGGGAGGCTGGGCCTATTGAGAGACGTTCCAGTTATGGGGGTGGATCCATCATGAATACATTAATGCTGTCCCCATGAGACGTGGTTGGCAAGTTCTCCATGAGGTCCCTAGGACTGGTTGCTAAAAAGAGCATGGGGTTTCTCCATGTTGGCCAGGCTGGTCTCAAACTCCTGACCTCAAGTGATCCAAACGCCTTGGCCTCCCAAAGTGTTGGGTTACAGGCGTAAGCTCCCATTCACAGACTTGTATATTATGCTATAATAAGTCCCTTCATTTGCACCACCCCTCATCTATCTATCAATCACTCCTCTGCCAGATATTGATTTACATGTAGGAAAAATAAATCTCAGAAAGAAATTAATATATTCAAAATTAAATAAGTAGGCATTATCAAATCCAGCAAGCCCTCCCTACAAATGATTCTACCTCACAGACATATCTTATACCCATCTACTTCATTCATTTAGTGTCTAAATCAGCACCACATTTCACCAGTGGGGCGGGAATTGCCTTTTCCACGGTCTCCTAGATTCCAGTTACGCACTTGGGCGTCCTTATTTTCATGTCAGTCATATTAATCATGTAGGGATTCCTGGCTACCCCGAGGTGAATCCAATGGCTGTGAGTGTCAAACACACGCTCCTTGTTCCTCCTTAGTTTCCTGTGTACCCAGAGTGCTCTCCGTCTCTCCACAGTCGTCTTGTCATTCTCCCCACTTCATTCCCAGCATTTGAATGCAGAGCCTCTTCCTTCCACATCAGATTGTTTTCACATTTGTGCCTTCACGGCTGACAGCTGTGTGTGGAAAATCCTTCCGCCAATCTTCCAGGGGTTGAATCTACTTTTTTTTTTCATTATGGTCACAAATATTATCTGATTAGTGAGACTTTCTCTGTCTCCTGAAATTATACACTTAGAATTCTTTATTATTTATTTTAAATTTCGGCTGGGCGCAGTGTCTCACACCTTGAGTCCCAGCATTTTGGGATGCTGAGACGGTCGGATCACTTGAGGTTGGGAGTTGGAGACAATCTGCGCAACATGGTGAAACTCCATCTCTACTAAAAAATATAAAAGAATATTAGCTGGGTGTGGTGGAGGGGACTGGAATCACAACTAGTCAGGAGGCTGAGGCAGGAGAATCGCCTGAACCCGGGAGGCGGAGGTTGTGGTGAGCTGAGGTCATGCCACTGCACTCCAGCCCGGGGACAGAGAATGACTTCGCCGCAAATAAATAAATACATAAATAGATAAATAGATAAATAAATAGGTAAATAGATTTCATGCACGGATGCTTCCCAATGGATCAATCATTACTGGTCCACTTGTGCATTCATATTCTGCCCTCCCATTTGCCCATCTGCAATGTCAGTGTCCTAAGAGCAGAGGCCAAATGCATCGTGTTTACCATTTGTGGAAGGCAGGAGAATGCTGGCCCACCCCCAAAATGTCCCTGTCCTAGCCTCCATAGCTTGTGAATATGTTATTTTACATGAAAGGAGGAATAAAGATTGCAGATGGAATTATGGTTGCTAATCAGCTGAACTTAAAAAGAGGTTATCTTGGGTGATTTTAGGGAGATTGTGATGGATTATCTTGGTAAACTCAATAGAATCCCAAAGTCTTTAAAAGAGGAAGAAAAAGTCAGAGCAACACTTAGAGAAAGAGGTGAGGTAAGGAAGAGGGATCTGAGTGATGCCACGTGAGAGATGTGATGAGCTTTTGTGGGCTTCGAGGAAGGAGGATGGGGACCAGATGCCAAGGAGCGTGGGAACCTCTGGGAGCTGGGAAATGTGAAAAGCCGATTCTCGCCTGGAACCTTCAGAGAAAAGGCAGCCTCGCAGTCACCTTGATTTTAGCCCAGTGAAATGCATTTCATATTTCTGAGCTATAACACTGTAAGATAATTTTAAAAGCTGTGTTGTTGTCATCCATGAAGATTGTGGAGATTTATTATGGCAACAGCAGGAAAGGGTTCCACACTGTACAGTCAGAGCACAGGGCAGTGGCTGAATAAGTGAGTAAGTGGAAGTGTCATATTTGTGGATGAACTACGTTCCTTCTTACTGCAAGGCTCTTGCTCTGCTGACTCAGCCAAGGTCGCATCATGACCAACAGGGGCTCATTCCTTGGCAAGTGGAACTTCTCTAAATCACCTTTCCCTCATCAGATGTTCCCTTCCCCTCCCTCTCTCAAGTCCCCTCAAATTTATCCTCCAATTTGGAATGCAGGCAGAAAAAACACCACTTTATCCCTGAGAAGGATGTCAGATTTGTACTCGTCCGTCTAGCTTGGAGGAGGTCTCAGCTGCAGAAATTTGAAATGAAGAGACTTCACTGAGCCCTTTGCTGTCCTCAGATACCCTTCGCTGTTGTAGTGTCTGGGGGTCAGAGATGTTAGAAGACAGGCCCACAATCACAGAGCTGGGAGGTGCTGAGCCAATGCTTGAATCCAAGATACCAACCTCCCCAGGTTTCCAAAAGCAGAGATAAGAGGGATCTTTACTCACCAGTTTTGGAGCTTGGTTCAGTGGGTGAAGATGAACTACTTGAAGAGTTTCCTAGAACACAGGACAGGAGAGAGGTGAGGAAATGAGGATGCCTGTCTTCTACTCAAAGGAAATCTTTGAGGTTGGTTCATGGCCAACACTCTGTTATCTAATGTTGGGCCCTAGGAGTCCTGGCGTCCCCTTCTCCATCATCATTGTTAAATGATGCCCAGTGTCCTGAGATTTCGAGGTATAAAGACAAAACAGGTGCTGGAGGCCTCACACTCCCTGACTTAAAAATATGTTACAAAGCTGTAGTAAGCACAACAGCATGACATTGGCATAAAGGCCCTTAGAGCAATGGAGCAGAATGAAGAACACAGATATAATTCATGCATTCACATCCAATGGACTTTGACGATTGTACGTGCCAAGAACCTGCAATCAGGAAACGACGGTCTTTTCAATAAATGGAGCAGGGAAAACTGGTATCTACATGCAGTTGATGAAACTGCACCTCTACCTCTCACCATACACAGAAATCAAATGAAAATGGAAGAAACACTTAAGGCCTGAAACCATTAAGCGTCTAAAAGGAAAGAGTGGGGAAATGCTCCAGGACATTTGTCTGAGGAAAGACATTTTATTTGAAATCTCAAAAACACAAGAAATCAAAACAAAATAATAGACCTTCGGGATTACATCAAAGTAAGCAGCTTCTGCACCGCAAAGGAAGCAACCAACAAAGTGAAGAAGAGACAAATTGGGAGAAAATATTTGTGAAGTATGCATCTGAGAGGGGATTAATAACTAGAATATACATAAAACTCAAGCAACGGTATAAAACAATGAATTTAATTTAACAATTAGTAAAAGACCTGAACAGACATTTCTCAACAAACAAAACGTACAAATGGCGAACATGTACATGAAAAAGTGCTCAGTATCACTAATCATGCCAATTGAAATCACAGTGAGCTATCATCTCATCCCATTAAAGTGGCTTTTATCTGAAACACAGACAAAATAAATGCTGGCAAGGTGGTAGAGAAAGGAGAACCCTGGTACCCTGTTGATAGGATCTAGCAATTCCACTACTGGGTGTAAACCCAAAGGGAAGGACATCAGTGTATCGAAGTGATATCTGCACTCATACGATTGGTGCAGCACTGTTCACAGTAGCCAAGATGTGGAGTCAACTTACCTGCCCGTCAGTGGGTGAATGGATAGAGAGAATGTAGTACACACACACAGTGGAGAGTACTCATCCGTAGAAAGAATAACATCCTGACATTTGCAGCCACATGGATGGAACTGGAGGTCATTGCAAAGATTCCCATTTCTCACCCATATACAGGAGCTAAAAGGTGGATCTCATGAAGGTAGAGAGTAGAATGGTGGCTACCAGAGGGCAGGAAGTAAAGGGTGGAGTGTAACAACAACAATAAAAAAGAATATAGATGTATTTATTTATTTAGAGACAGAATCTCTCTCTGTCTCCCAGGCTGCAGTGCAGTGGCCTGATCTCAGCTCAGTGCAACCTCTGCCTCCTGGGCTTACGTACTTCTCCTGCCTCAGCCTCCCATGTAGCTAGGAATACAGGTGCATGCCAGCATGCCCAGCCAATTTTTCTTGTCTGTTTAGTAAAGATGAATTTCCCTCATGTTGGCCAGGCTGATCTCGAGCCTCTGATCTTAAATGATCCACCTTCCTTGGCCTCTCAAAGCACCGAGATTATAACTGTGAGCCACTGCACCCTGCATATAAAGGAATTTATGACCACTAGATTTTACTTTTAAAAATGGTAAAGGTGGCAAATTATATAGTTACATTTAACCTAAATAAATGTTTTTTCAAACGGAAAGAAAAGGGTGTAGGGGTTGCTGGTGATGACATCTCTGTGTGGGTGAGAGGCCAGTATGGGCTTCTGGGAAATGGGTAAGGTTTAGGGTCTGAGGGAGCCTCTGATCTCCCCAAACTGAGCCGAGTCTCCCTCCTCTGGGTCTGTCCTGACCACTTTCTCCATCTGCCTGGGTGCCTGGAGCCCTGGCCGCGGGCCTCCATGCAGGCCGTGCAGGAGGGTTTGGAGGTGCCCTGTCTGCCATCCTGTGCCCTGATCCCTCCCTCACACCATGCTGCGTGTTCTCTCTGCATCTGTCCATGCTTCTCTCCATCATCAGCAGGAAGCTCCTCAGCTAAGGCTCTAGGATCACAGGACATGGGACAGGCATGGGCTTTCCTCACCTGTGACAGAAACAAGCAGTGGGTCACTCGGGTCTGACCACTCATAGGGTGAGTCATGGAGAGAGCCGAAGCATGTGTAGGTCCCTCCGTGGGTGGCAGGGCCCAGAGGAAAGTCAGCCTGGAATGTTCCATTGACGCTGGGCACTGCAGGGAGCCTAGGTTCATGGGCCCTCCCCTCCCTGGATAGATGGTACATGTCAAATGAGCTCCTGGAGCTGCAGGACAAGGTCACGTTCTCTCCTGTGCGAACCGTGGGGCCCGGCTGGGCTGAGAGTGAAGGTTTCCCAAATAGACCTGGAAGAAGAGGCAGTTTCCTCAGGGAGGTTCTTCCTTGTCACAGCTCCCCTCACACCTGAGCTGAGAACTCACTCCCCTGCTCTATGACCTAATGCTCTCTCTCTCTCTCACCCTCCACCCCCGACTCTCCCTGTGGATCCCTCCCTATGCGGCTCCAGCCTGGTGGTGGCATCAGCAGTGCACCCTTGCTGACCTTAGGGTAGCCAACCCTCTTGTTTGGTTTTTTAACTTGTCCTTGACCTGGATTCCTGTGTTGTTTCCTGTTGTTGCTGCAGAAAATTATCACAAACACGGCGGCGGGAGAGAACACTTCTGTTGACAGAAATCAGACCCTGTTCTTCCTGGGCTACAATCAAGGCATCTGCAGGGCTGCATTCCCTCTGGAGACTCGGGAGAATCAGTTCCATTGACTTCTCCAGCCCCTAAAGGCCACCTGCATTCCGTGGCTTCTGGCCTTCCTCCACTTTCAAAGCCCGCAGTGGCTGGTGGACTCTCCCTCCCACTACGCTGCTCTAATCCCCACTCTCCTCTTCCTCCTCCTCTCATGTGGACCCTTGTGATTACACTGAGCCCAGTGGGAGAGTCCAGGTCGTCTCCCCATCTCAAGGTCAACTCATCAACAACCTGAACTCCATCTTCCCCTTCAGTCCCATGTCCTATAACATAAATAGTCACAGGCTCCAAGGATTACAATATAGCCATGCTGCCGACAGTTACTCTTTCCACCACAGCACCCATTCCCCTGTATTCAATCCCCATTGACACCAAATACAGTCAGGGCCTGGATGATTGGACCCTGGTGGACACCCCCACCAGATGCTCTGGGATTCAGGAAGTGGGAGAAGGAGAAGCCCAGACATGAGTCCTCTGACCTGTGACCACGATCACCAGGGGGTTGCTGGGTGCTGACCACTCAATGGGGGAGCGTGGGTGTGAACCCCGACATCTGTAGGTCCCTGCGTGTGCAGGGGTCACAGGGCCCATGAGGATGCTCTTCCAGAATATTTTGTTGTAGAGCTCAGGGACAGGCACCCCATCTTCTTTGTACAGACTGAAGATGGTAAACCCAAGACGAGAGCGACACAGAAGAGTCACATGTCCTCCTCGAGGCACCACAGCGCTGGGCCAGGCAGACAGCAAGGGCTTGTCCTGACCACCTGGGGGAGAAGGAGGCGCCACCTTAGAAAGGAGGATGTGGAGCCGCCCCTCCCTGCCAGTGCTCAGAAGATTCTCCCCACTTTCCTCGTTTCTAAGGCTCCTACCACACTTGGGTGCCCATGGGTACGGGAAGGACCCACCCCGCATAGACTTGGCGTCTCTCTACAACAAAAGTGTCAGCTGAGAACTTTGAGCAAGTGCTGAGTAAGGGACTCCTACTAGATTTTAATACTGCAAGATTACTCACATAAAACAACACAAATAGACATGGGGTCGAGGGCATGTTCTTTGTGAATGGAATATCAGCCAATGTGTGAACCACAATACACAACTGAGCCCCCAACAGAGGATTTGGAAGGTCAGGGCCCTGGCTGGGGTTCCCCCACCTCTGAGGTAGAATGACAGCAGCCACACTGCAGCCCCTACCGTCATGGAAACGCTGGAGGGTGTGAGTTACACCTTTGTCCTCAGAGGCCTGCTGTTCCTAGCACTGCTTTGCTCCCTTCCTCTGCCAGTGACACCACATCCCAGCCGCACAGCCCAGCTTGGAGGACCCCAGTCTACCCTCCCGGGTTCCCACAGAACCTGACTCAGCCAAGGGAAAGGAAGGCTGGGGAGGGCAAGGTCGGAACTGTGGGCTGAGCACCCCAGGGTCTCCTCATCCTTGTTTATAAGAAAATCCCCCACCGGGCTTCCCTCCTGTTTCAGGAAAATCCTCTTATGTGGGGAGATGACACCCGAAGGTTTGGAGAAGGACTCACCCTCATGTGTCCAGGCCCCCTGCAGCAAGAAGAACCCTGGAAAGAAAGATCATGATGGACCATCCATCTGCAGGCAAACCAGGACTCCCTTGCTGCCCCCACTGGGCTGTGAGTCTTGGTAGCCAGGCCCTTGCTGGGCTGAAGGGAAACTCACCCTCAGTGCCAGCCTGCACCCAAGAACAGGGCTGTCGGCTGTGTAGAGACCCAGCCTGCAGGCCCATATCCGCACCCCAGGCCCCTATCCCCACCCCAAGCCCATATCTCCACTCCAGGCCCATATCTCCACTCCAGGCCAATATTTCCACCCTAGACCCATATCTCCAATCCAGGCCCATATCTCCACCCCAAGCCCATATCTCCACACCCAGGCCCATATCTCCATCCTAGGCCCATATGTCCACTCCAGGCCCAGATATCCACCTCTAGGCCCATGTCTCCACCTCCAGGCCCATATCTCCACCTCCAGGCCCATGTCTCCACTCCAGGCCCATATCTCCATCCCAGGCCAATATCTTCACTCCAGGCTCATATCTCCCCTCCAGGTTCCTATCTCCACTCCAGGCCCAGATCTCCACTCCAGGCCCATATCTCCACCTCCAGGCCCATATCTCCACTCCAGACCCAGATCTCCACTTCTAGGCCCATCACTCCATCTCCAGGCCCATATATCCACTCCAGGCCCAGATCTCCACTCCAGGCCCATAACTCCACCTCCAGGCCTATATCTCCACCTCTGGGCCCAGATCTCCATCCCCGCGCTCCCTCCCTCTATTCCTTTCCAGGACTCACCAACACACGCCATGCTGACGACCATGAGCGACATGGTGCTGCCGGTGCAGACAGGCAGCCGCGCCCCAGCTCAGCTCAGCAGCGCACAGGATGTTATTTGGCGCCCTGCCCATGCAGCTTACATGTTGACTACATCATGGGAGGGTGACGTACGCAGGCTCTTTCTACCTTGCATGAGGCCCAGTGGATGCTTGCTCAAGAGCGGAACACGGCTTCCTGGNNNANNNAANNTTGTTCTCACTAGAATTGGCACCTCACGTCCTTCACTATGACCAACTCACAACACGTCTCAGATCCAACCTCCCGAACACAAGATGCCTAAAATCTGTGCTAACGTGAAAGACTTTTCATGTATTTTTATCCGAACACGAGATGCCTAAAATCTGTGCTAACATGAAAGACTTTTCATGTATTTTTTTTGTTTTTATCTGAGATTCAAACTCTTCTTCCTGTGTAATATGCAAAGTATCTAATAGGTATTATTAATGTTTTCGGAGTCATTGTGACTAATAAACCATTAGAATTTTTCATGCTTGTATTTCTAGTATTACAGCAGAACCAGCTAAAATGATTTAAATTCCCAGGGAAGGATTATGCAATTATTTACAATCTTAGAATTGTACTTTATCAGCAAAAACCACACCTGTAAATTCTGGAGTTTTGTAGTTTAATCTAAAATTTGTCTCATGACCCAAGATTCCAGAGTCCCAACTCTGGAGTTTGCTCTCTGTCTGTCTCTCTCCCTCCCTCGTTTTAAATTTTACAGAAATATCCAGTAACATAATGCTATAGAAAATCAAGTTTTCCCCAGCACGTTGGGAAGCCGAGGTGGGCGGATCAACTGAGATAAGGAGTTTGAGAGCAGCTTGGCCAATATAGTGAAACCGTGTCTCTGTTAAAAATCCAAAAATTAGCCGTGCCTGGTGGCAGGCACCTGTAACGCCAGCTGCTCAAGAGGCTGAGGCACGAGAATCGCTTGAACCTGGGAGGCGGAGGTTGCAGTGAGCTGAGATTGTGTCACTGCAGTCCAGCCTGGGCGACAGAGCAAGACTCCGCCTCAAGAAAAAAAAAGCAAACAGCCTATAATAACAAATTAGAGGGCTCTGGCTACTAAATTTAAAGGGTTCTATAAGGCTACATAAAGTGCAGCATCATCAAGAGTGTGGACACAGAGAGCCCCTTAGCAGAAACAGTGTCTAAAATACATCCATGTACACACAGTCCCTTTAGAGTTGACAAAGGCTGCCGTGTGGTTTAAGGTGGCATAGAATGTCTTCTCAATAAATAATATTAAACCAATTGGTTACACCTAGGAAAAAATAAATCTAACTCACACTATAAAAACACTTCTTAGTTTTTATCTAGTTGTACATTTTTTATGATTTATATTTAAATTTGAGAAATAAAAGTCATATACGGTCATCCTTCACTATTCGTGGGTGATTGGTTTTGAGATCTCCACTCAGATACCAAAATCTGTAGATGCTCAAGCCTCTTATATGAAATGGCACAGAGTTTGCAAATAACCTATGCACATCCTCCTGTATACATGAAATCATCTCTAGATTACTTATAATTCCTGATACAGCCTACACACAGCTTCATTTGTGTCCATTCAACATAGTTATGCTTTTTGAAACTCTGTGGATACTTTCTCTCAATATTTTTGATTTATACTTGGTTCAATAAACACCTGTAAACCCCGCAGATATGGAGGAGTGACCGTATATTTATATTATGAAAGATGATGTGTTGATATGTGTCCCCATGGAGATGAGACTAACAAGGCCTATGATTCTACAAATGTTTCATTGTGGAATGACTCTGCCAGCTTTCCAGGTCTGCAGAGAGTAAGAGTATCACTTGTTCATATGATTCGTGATCCTTGGAACCTCCTATGTGCTACATCTTTGGATGGAAATTGGAGTCTCAGAGACAAATGAGGCTCCACCCTGCTTCCAGAAACTCAGAGTCCGGGGATGAGAACTCAGTGGGGAACAGATGGGATTATATGGACATGGTACTGATAACACCGGAAGCCTTAGGCAAGAAAAGAGTCCCATTACCGAAACCATGGGGGCAGACATGTTTATTTGAAGGATGGAAAACTACATTGAAGTTATTTTAAAAAATATATAAGTTTTACTGCTGACAGAAGACTGAAAGCTAGTCTGAGGGGAGGTGGAACAGCATGAGGGAAGGTGGAACAACACGTGTCTAAGTGCTGCGTTAAGAGGGAGCCTCTTGTATGTTTGGAATTGTGAGTTCCTCAGTGTGATTGCAGCCTCAAGTAGACTAGGAAGTAAGCCAGTTAGGTTGGAGAGGTGGGCAGGGGTCAAGTGAAATGGAGAACTGTGGGCTAAGCAAAGGAGTGTGTTTTTTCTCCAGCAGGCAGTGGGGACCTTAGACATTTGTAAGCAAGTGAGAGGCACATTCAGATTTGTGGTGTGAGGAAGAGCGATGCCCTAAGATGCAGACTCATGCCTTCAGATTCCAGCTGCTGGTACATGGGAGCTGGCAACCCGGTTTTGAGACAGGGCTGTTGTCTCCCTAGAAGACGCCCTCAAGGCCTGACTGTGGTGCTCATGGGCAGGAGACAACTTTGGATCTGGACTCAGCATTTGGAAGTTCCGCGTACACGATGATATCTGTTGGGGGTGTCTTGGGCCTCTGAGAAGGGCGAGTGATTTTTCTCTGTGTGAAAACGCAGTGATTCAACTGTGTGTATGTCACCTCCTGAGGGTCTTGTTCATCAGAGTCCTGGAGAGAGGGAAATGCTGAGTGAGGGAGGGTGCTCACATTTTCCAGGACTCTTTGGGAATAACAGTAGCCACGAGCCCGGGCCGAGGAGTACCTACCTCGCTATTCGCTGTTCTGTTCCCTGCAGACTCTTGGTCCATTACCGCAGCATCTGTAGGAGACGGAAGTCAACAAAACAGCTCGGAGGGCACTTCTGGGTCCTCATTTCATAAGCAGATACCAACATACAGGGGGAGACCATAGGTGGCTGAGGTCCCTCAGTTGCCAACAGCAGACTCAGACATTCTATCTCTCTGAGCTCAAGGACCCATCCCATGAATAGCTCTGAGTTCCCATCCCATTGATTCTGTCTCCCACTTTCTGCCTGTCATGGAACCTTCTCCTGGATGTGAGTGGCTGCAGGGGACATGAGGATACAGTTCAGAATCAGGCAACGGTCTGTGAGTTGAAGGCAGGGGCAGGGAGTCTGGTGCCCTCTCTAGAAAGTCCTGCCTCTGTGGCTGCTGCCTTGGGCCAGGGACCATCCTGTTTGTGAGGAACACACACCTGAGTGCTCCCATCCTGCTTCCCCACATGGCCCTGAGCTCTCTGGCCTCTGCTTCGTGAGACTTACTTTTTTTGTTGGAGCACCAGCGATGAAGGAGAAAGAAGAGGAGGATGAAGAGGATGATGACCACTGAGGTCCCAATCAGAATGTGCAGGTGTCGGGGGTTACCTGGAAGAAGATGAGACACCAATAAGAAGCTAATCTTAGCAGTTCCTCTTTATGAATTGTCTCGCATTTCTTGATTGACAGGTAACCACATAAAACATCTCTTTAGGACAAGCACCCAGATGGCAGGAGACCCAGCTTTCTCCTGCTTTTTCAGTTATAGCTCTCATAGTAACCATAGAACGTGCTGAGGATACGACTACTTTAGTTGAGATGTTTGACCCCTTCAAACCTCACATTGAAATTTCACCCCCACTGTGGGAGGTTGGGCCTCTTGAGAGGTGTTTGGGTCATGGAGGTGGATCCATCATGAACACATCAATGCTGTCCCAAGGAGACGGGGTTAGCAAGTTCCCCCTCTATTAGTTCCCGGAGAGCTGGTTGTTAAAAAGAGCTTGGAAGCTCCATCACTCCCCCTCCCCCTTGCTCCCTCTCTTGCCGTGTGATCTCTGTGGTCTCTGCACAGACAGACCCTCCTTCCCTTCTGCCAGAGTGGGAGCAGCCTGAGGCCGTCACGAGAAATAGATGCTGGTGCCATGCTTCCAGTACAGCCTGCAGAACGGTGAGGCAAACCAATCTCTTTTCTTTAGAAGTTACCGAGGCTCAAGTGTTCCTTTAGAGCAACAAAAATGGCCTAAGACAGCAACTTCCTGAGATCAGGAGGAACGTCTCAGAACACCCTGGGCTGTCTTCCTGTTCTTCCTGGAGGACGTCATGCAGTGCTTTAGCTGAGTGCTTCCTGTGGCTCCAGGGTACAAAACCCAGGCTGGGCTGCTTTCTGGCTTCCCGCAGCTACACTGCAAATGGGGTGACTCCATATGTCCCGAGGAGCTTTTCTGAGCCTTGAGGGACTGGCTCACATTGAAATATAGGTTTCTGTTGTCACTCGCTGCTTATCTGTTAGTAATGAACCTGCCTATGTAACGTATTCTCTGTGTGTTCTGTCTCCCTGGAGTGACGGTGAGTGATAGGAATTGGCATAGGCCCAGGTGCAGTCCAGGAGGTGTTTAGAGTCTTCTCTGGGAAGACTGGACTGGGATTGATTCACAGCGAATGTGCTTTAGGGTTTCTACATCCACAGCATTCTTGAATCAAACAACTTGCATTCTCCAAGGAAAGAAAACAAAAGTGAAATCAAGATAAAAAAAGCGAAATAGAATTCTCTTATGTCAAACGGCCAGGAAATAGTGTTGAAGCCCGTGTGAAACCTGCTGCTCTTTGTGATCTCGGGAGACACATATTAGGCTGCTGTTCTACCCGAGAGGCTGGGGGAAGGACCACCCCCTCGGCCATCTATTGCTTCAATACCACCTGTCCTCCTGTGAATTAGTAGGAAAGGGGAGCAGGAGCTAGTGCTGTCGCTGATCTCTGATTCCAAGATCTGGACTCACTCCAAGGAGTGTTAATGTTTACCTCCCCATGGTCTACCTGAATCTCCACAGGTGATTGGAAGTAGGGGTGAGGTGGGGGATTTGGGTGAGTGGGCAAGTTTTTTTTGTGATGACCAGAGCACTTTCTCTATTCCAGGATCTGTGCTGGAGGATTCAGCGGACTTTCACATTTTCTATATGATCTCATGCTCACAGAAAGCCAAATAGGGAAGAGGTTTTAGGCTCATTGCCTAATGGATAAGATAAAGGATCAAAGAAGTAATTATAGAGAAATAGAAAAATCATGATTGGAATTCAGGTCCCTTTGTCATTTGCGTGTGTTATATTATATTTATATTTATGCATTTCTTATTTTTATTTTTTGAGACGGAGTCTCCTTGTGCCACCCAGGCTGGAGTGCAGTGATGCAACCTCCACTCACTGCAACCTCCACCTCCTGGGTTGAAGTCATTCTCCTGCTTCATCCTCCAGAGTAGGAGCTGGGATTACAGGGATGCACCACCATGCTCGGCTAATTTTTGTGTTTTTCCTAGAGACAGGGTTTCACCATGTTGGCCAGGCTGGTCTCGAACTGCTGACTTCATGTGATCCACCCGCCTTGGCCTCCTGCAGTGCTGGGTTACAGGCGTGAGCCACCGTTCACAGACTTGTATATTATGCTATAATAGGTCTCTTCATTTCCACCACCCCTCATATATCTGTCACTCCTTTGCCAGGTATTGATTTATGTGTAGGATGAATAAATCTCAGAAAGAAATTAATTAAGCGAGGATTAAACAAGTAGGAAAATCAAACCCAGCAAGCCTTTCCAGTCAATGATTCTACCTCACAAACCTATCTTATATCCATCTACTTCATTCATTTAGTGTCTAAATCAGCACCACATTTCACCAGTGGGGCGGCAATTGCCTTTTCCACGGTCTCCTAGATTCCAGTTATGCAACTGAGCCTCCCTTATTTTCATGTCAGTCATATTAATCATGTAGGGATTCCTGGCTACCCCGAGGTGAATCCAATGGCTGTGAGTGTCAAACACACACTCCTTGTTCCTCCTTAGTTTCCTGTGTACCCAGTGTGCTCTCCGTCTCTCCACAGTCATCTTGTCATTCTCCCCACATCATTCCCAGCATTTGAGGAAGAGCCTCTTCCTTCCACATCAGATTGTTTTCACCTTTGTGCCTTCACGGCTGACAGCTGTGTGTGCAAAATCCTTCCGCCAATCTTTCAGGGGTTCAATCCGTGTTTTTCATTAATGTCACAAATATCTGAATAGTGAGACCTTCTTTGTCACCTGAAATCATACACTCAGCATTATCTATTATTGATTTTGAATTCTGGCTGGGCACAGTGGCTCACGCCTGTAGTCCCATTACTTTGGCATGCTGAGACGGTCGGATCACTTGAGGTTGGGAGTTTCAGACAAGCTTGGCCAACGTGGTGAAACATCCTCTCTACAAAAAATATACAAAAAGAATTAGCCGGGCACGGTGGCAGTTGCCTGTAATCCCAGCTACTCGAGAGGCGGAGGCAGGAGAATCACTTGAATCCAGGAGAAGCAGGTTGCAGTGAGCCAAGATCGTGACACTGCACTGTAGCCTGGAAGACAGAGGGCAACTCTGTCTCAATAAACAAAAGAACAAACAAAAAATAGATTTCATGCACAGATGCTTCCCAATGGATCATTCATTTATAGATCCACTTGTGCATTCATTTTCTGCCCTCCCATTTAACCATCTGCAATATCAGTGTCCCAAGGGCAGAGGCCAAATGCATCTTGTTCACTGTTTGTGGAAGGCAGGAGAATGCTGTCCCACCCCAAAATGTCCCTGTCCTAGCCTCCATACCTTGTGAATATGTTATTTTACATGGAAAGGAGGAATGAAGATTGTAGATGGAATTACGGTTGCTAATCAGCTGAACTTAAAACAAGGGTATCCTGGATGATTTCCAGGAGATTATGAGGGATTTTCATCTTGGTGAACCCAATAGAATCCCCAAGTTTTCAAAAGATAAGGAAGAAGGGAGAGCAGCATTCAGAGAAAGAGGTGTGGTAAGGAAGAAGGCACTGAGTGATGCCATGTGAGATGTGACCAGTCTTTGTGGGTTTTGAGGAAGGAGGAAGGGGACCAGGAGCCAAGGAACTGGGAGCCTTTAGAAGCTGGGACAAGTGAGAAGCAGATTCTTGCCTGGAATCCTCAGAGGGAAGGCAGCCTTGCTGTCACCTTGATTTTAGCCCAGTAAGATGCACTTCCTACTTTGAGCTACAGCACTGTAAGATAATTAAAAAACCGTTTTGTTTTCACCCACGAATCTTGTGGAAATTTGTTATGGCAACAATAGGAAAAGGTTCCGCACTGCACAGCCTGAGCATGGGGCCGTGGCTGAATGAGTCAGTGAGTCGAAGTGTGCGTGCATGAGCTCCGTTCTCTGTTACGGCAAGGCTGTTGCTCTGCTGAGTCAGCCAGGGTTGCTTCATGACCAACAGTAATTCATTCCTTGGCAAGTGGAACTTCTCTAAAACACCTCGCCCTCATCAGATGTTCCCTTCCCTTCCCTCTCTCAAGCCCCCAGGAATTTATCCTCCAGTTAGGAATGCAGGCAGAACAAACATTGCATTTTTCCTGAGAAGGATGTCAGATTGGCAATCATTCTTCTAGCTTGTAGGAGGTCTCAGCTCCATAAAATGAGAGATTAAGAGATTTCACTGAGCCCTAGGTTGGGCCCAGATCCCTTTCGCTGTTGGAGTATCTGGAGTTCGGAGATGGTAGAAGACAGGCGTACAATGTCAGAGCTGCGAGATGCTGAGTCAATGCCTGCATCGAAGGTTTCTACCTCCCCAGGTTTCCAAAAGCGGATATAAGAGGGTTCTGTACTCACCGGTTTTAGAGCTTGGTTCAGTGGGTGAAGGCCAACTATTTGAAGGGTTTCCTAGAACATGAGACAGGAGAGAGGTGAGGAAATGAGGGTGTCTGTCCTCTACTCAATGGAAATCTTTGAGGTTGGTTCATGGCCAACACTCTGTTATCTAATATTGGGCCCTGGGAGTCCTGGGATCCTTTTTTCCATAATTTTTGTATGTGACGCCCATTGTCTTGAGACTTCAAGGTATAAAGAGAAAACAGGAGCATCACACTACCTGATCTCAAAATATGTTACAGAGCTGTAGTAAGCAAGACAGCATGATGTTGGCATGAAGAAAGGCACATAGAACAATGGAGCAGAATGAACAACACAAATATAATCCATGCATTTACATCCAATGTTTTTTTCTTTTTTCTTTTGAGATGGAGTCTCGCTCTGTCACCCAGGCTGGAGTGCAGAGGTGCAATCTCGGTTCACTGCCACCACAGCCTCCTGGGTTCAATCAATTCTCTGGCCTCAAACTCCTGAGTAGTGGTATTATAGGTGCTGACCACCATGCTCAGCTAATTTATATATTTTTAGTGGAGACGATGTTTCATCACGTCGGCCAGACTAATCTTGAACTCCTGGCCTCAGGTGATCCACCCGCCTTGGGCTCCCAAAGTGCTGAAATTGCAGGTGTCAGTCACCATGCCCAGCCCATCCAATGGACTTTGACAAAGGTGCCAAGAACTCACAATCAGGAAAGGACAGTCTTTTCAATAAACAGTGCAGGGAAACCTGGACATCTACATGCAGAGGAATGAAACTGCACCTCTACCTGTCACCATACACAAAAATCAAATGAAAATGGATTAAAGATGTGAGTCTAAGGCCTGAACCTATGAAACACGTAGAAGAAAATATTGGGGAAATGCTCCAGGACATTTGTCTGAAGGAAGACATTTTGTTTTAAACCTTCAAAACACAAGTAATCGAAGCAAAAATAGACCATTGGGATTACCTCAAGCTAAGCAACTTCTGCACCGCTAAAAATAAACCAACAAAGTGAAGAGACAACCCACAGATTGGGAGCAAATATGTGCAAACTATGCATCTGAGATGGGATTAATAACTAGAAATATAAGAAGCTCAAACAACTCAATAAAACAAATGATTTAATTGAAACAGGAGCAAAAGACATGAAATTTCCCCACATACGAAAAACTGCTCAGTATCACTCATCATCAGAGAAACGCAAATTAAAATCAAAGTGAGTTTTCATCTCACCCCATTAAAATGGCTTTTAGGCCGGGCGTGGTGGCTCACGTCTGTCATCCTAGATCTTTGAGAGCCTGAGGTGGGTGAATCTCATAAGGTCGGGAGTTTGAGACCAGTCTGACCCACATGGAGAAACACTGTCTCTACTAAAAATACAAAAATTAGTCGGGCGTGGTGGCGTGTGCCTGTAATTCCAGCTACTCGGGAGGCTGAGGCAGGAGAATCGCTTGAACCTGGGAGGTGGAGGTTGTGGTGAGCCGAGATCGCACCACTGCACTCCAGCCTGGGTGACAAGAGCGAAACTCCATCTCAAAATAAAATGAAATAAAGTAAAATGGCTTTTAGCTGCAAGACAGGCAAAGGAAATCCTGCCAAAGTGGTAGAGAAAGGAGAACCCTAATACCCTGTTGGTAGGAGTGTAAATTAGTACAGCCTTTACGGAGAAAAGTGTGGAAGTCCTTTAAAGAACTAAAAAGAGGTTGGGTGAGGTGGATCATGCCTGTAATCCCGGCACTTTGGGAGACCGAGGCGGACACCTCAGTTGAGGTCATGAGTTTGAGAGCAGCCCAGCCAACATGGGGAAACCCCATCTATACTAAAAAAACCAAAAAGTAGCCAGGCATGGTGGCGTGCACCTGTAATCCCAGCTACTAGGGAGGCTGAGGTAGGAAAATCATTTGAACCCAGGAGGCAGAGGTTGCAATGAGCCAAGATGACATCACTTGTACTCCAGCCTGGGCACAGAGGGAAACTGTCTCAAAAACAAAAACAAAACAACAAACGAATAACTAAAAAGAGAACTTTCATAGTATCCAGCAATTTCACTACTGGGTTTATATCCAAAGGAAAGTAAATCAATATATCGAAGTGATATCTGCACTCGTATGATTGGTGCAGCACTGTTCACAGTAGCCAAGATGTGGAGTCAACCTACCTGCCCATCAGTGGATGAATGGATAGAGAGAATGTAGTACATACGCACAGTGGAGACTACTCATCCATAGAAAGAATAACATCCTGATATTTGCAGCCACATGGATGGAACTGCAAGTCATTACAAAGATTCCCATTTCTCACCCATATACAGAGCTAAAAGGTGGATCTCATGAAGGTAGAGAGTAGAATGGTGGCTTCCAGAGGCCAGGAAGAAAAGGGTGGAGGGTAAAAAAAAAAAAAAATATATATATATATATATATATATATATATATATATATACACATATATATATGTATATATATGTGTGTGTATATATATATACATACATATATATATATATATATTTATAAATGTATTTATGACCACTAGACTTTACACTTAAAAATGGTAAATGTGGCTGGGAGTGGTGGCTCATGCCTGTAATCCCAGCACTTTGGGAGGCAGATGCGGGTGGATCACGTGGTCAGGAGTTGGAGACCAGCTCGACCAACATGGTGAAACCACCTCTCTACTAAAAATACAAAAAGTAGCCTGGCGTGGTGGTGCGCGCCTGTAGCACCAGCTACTCAGGTGGCTGAGGCAGGAGAATCACTTGAACCCAGGAGGCGGAAGTTGCAGTGAGCTGAGATTGTGCCACTGCACTGCAGCATAGGGGACAGAGCTAGACTCTGCCTCAAAAAAAAAAAAAATGTTAAAGGTGGTAAGCTATATAGGTATATTTATCCTCAATAAATATTTCTTCAAACAAAAGTAAAGGGTGTAGGGGTTGCTGGTGATGACATCCCTGTGTGGGTGAGAGGCCAGGATGGGCTTCTGGGAAATGGGTAATGTTGAGGGGCTGAGGGAACCTCTGATCTTCCCAAACTGAGCCCAGTCTCCCTCCTCTGGGTCTCTCCTGACCGCTTTCTCCATCTGCCTGTGTGCCTGGAGCCCTGGCCGCGGGCCTTCATGCAGGCCGTGTAGGAGGGTTTGGAGGTGCCCTGTCTGCCATCCTGTGCCCTGATCCCTCCCTCACACCCAAGCTTCGTCTTCTCTCTGCATCTGTCCATGCTTATCTCCATCATCAGCAGGAAGCTCCTCAGCTAAGGCTCTAGGATCATAGGACATGAGACAGATATGGGGTTTCCTCACCTATGACAGAAACAAGCAGTGGGTCACTCGAGTTTGACCACTCGTATGGAGAGTCACGGAAAGAGCCGAAGCATCTGTAGGTTCCTCCGTGGGTGGCAGGGCCCAGAGGAAAGTCGGCCTGGAATGTTCCGTTGACCTTGGGCCCTGCAGAGAACCTACATTCATGGGCCTCCCCCTCCCTGGATAGATGGTACATGTCATAGGAGCTCCGGGAGCTGCAGGACAAGGTCACGCTCTCTCCTGCCAGAACCGTGGGGCCCGGCTGGGCTGAGAGAGAAGGTTTCTCATATAGACCTGGAAGGAGAAGAGGCATTTTCCTCAGGGAGGATCTTCCTTGTCACAGCTCCCTTCACCTGAGCTGAGAACTCACTCCCCTGCTCTATGACCTAATGCTCTCTCTCTCTCTCTCTCACCCTCCACCCCATCTCTCTTCATATCTATTTCCTTCTTCCACCTTCTCTGTCTCTCTAGGTCTCTGACCTCGCTTCCCCACCTCTAGATATGTTTTCCGTTTTTGGATTGTTTTATTCTCTCTGACTCTCCTTGGGTTGGTTGACTTGATGTTACTTTTTTAAATTCTAAGTTTCTCACGTTGTGTCCTGTTCATAACTTTCTGCATATTTCTATCTATTATCTGTCGATCTATCTATTTATCTATTCGGTGCCTATCTACAAATTCTCTACCTGTCATCTATATCTATATATCATCTATGTATCTATCAGTTGTCTATCTATCCATCAATCATCTGTTATTTATATGTATGTATCATCTCTCTCTCTATGATTTCTGTCTGCCTCTCTATCTGTACGTATTATCTGTCTTCATCATCATCATCTCTATGTATTATCTATTAATGAATCAATCAATCATCATCTATGTATCTTTAACCTATTATCTATCATCTACCTATTTATCATCTATCTATATCTATCCATCTATCATCTGTATTGCTCTGCCTCTCGGTCTCTCTAGCTCTCTTTGGAATCTCTGCAATTCATCCCCACATCTCCATGTTTCTATGTCCTTGTGCCTCTCTCTCAGGACTCTAATTTTAGTGCTTTTCTCTGCTCCCTGCCATCATTCTCACCACTCCTCTGCCCTCTTTTCTCTCTCTTTATGTGTCTGTGAGTCTCTCAATCTCCTTCCTCTGGCTCATTCTCCGTGTGTTTATGTCTTTGCTTTTTGGTGTTCCTGATTTTTCTCTGTGCCTCTCAGTGATCCTTTCATATGTGGGGTTATTTGGAATGTGAGCCTCAGAATCCAGTCTGGAGACCACAAGTTCACACAGCATACAGGGGTTGGTGTTCTGGGGCCATGATATCCTGGGACGGTTACTCTCCATTACATGGAAGGCAGAGGTGTCAGAATAAACATGGCCTGTAGGTGCCACAAGGCCTGAGGCCACAGGGCCCAACTCAGGTCAGAAATATGGGTGTCCTTGGGTTCTCCTGGTAGAGAACACTTTGTGGAGGTAAAACAGAAATGAAACTTCTAACCTGTGCCAGGTCTGTGAGCAAAGTCAGCATGGAGGGACACCTCTCTCTGGGACATGTCTGTCTGTCTGTCTCTTTTAACTCTTTCTGTCTTTTCTAACTCCCTGTATGGCCCCTGTGTCTGTCCTCCGTTATGACACCTGGTCTGTACTTGTGTCTCCTGTTTCTCTGTCTCTGTTGGTACAAACCTCAGCAAGTCAGTCTCTCTCCATAAGAATACCAAGCTCATCTTCCTTACAACTACCTGGGGGTTCCAAGTCGTGGATCATTCACTCTGCAGCCCAATGACAATGAGAATGTCCGGACACTCTCACCTGTGATGACGATGTCCAGAGGGTCACTGGGAGCTGACAACTGATAGGGGGAGTGAGTAACAGAACCGTAGCATCTGTAGGTCCCTGCAAGGTCTTGCATCATGGGACCGATGGAGAAGTTGGCTTTGGAGACCCCATCATGGTGCTCTCCAATGAGGTGCAAAGTGTCCTTAAACTTCCCTTCTCTGTGCAGAAGGAAGTGCTCAAACCTGACATCTGACCAACATTGCAGGATGACTGTCTCTTCTGATTTCACCAGGCGACCTGGGTGGGCCAGGAGGGAAGGTTTTCTGTGGACTCCTAGGAAGAGAGGTTGTGAGTTTAGAAGGTGTCTCTCTTTATCATCCCATCCATGGCACCTAGAATGAGTGAGGCTTCCCCTTGCTGGTGTCTGTCTCTCTCCTTCCTCTCTGTGTCTTCATGTTCTTTTCTGTGCCCTTAACTCCTGGTGCAGGTCCTTCCATCTGTCTCCCTCCCTCTTCTCTGTCCCTCTGTCTCTAGTAGCCTCTGATTCCCTTCCCACTGGGCTTAGCCTCATCTCTTGGGGTGTTGTATCTATTTCACACTAATGTCTTTCCTGCTGTTTATGTGGGGGTGAAAGAGGAACCAGGATAGGCTGCACATCCAGGCTCTTATCAGCCTGGTTCAATCTCTTTTGGATGAATTGCAATCCTTGGCAGAAGATATGAACTGATGAATAAGGCAGGCACCAGTGTCCACACACCCTGTTCCTGGTGGGGACTGGGAGCCACTCTTGCCATGCCTGTGCCTTCTCCATGGTGCCAGCTTCCATAGGCTGGCTCCTGGTGCTGGTTGGAGGAGTATCAACCCCTCCCTATGTGGATGGAGCCTGGTGGTGGCATCATCATCCCACCCTTGCTGATCTCAGGGTAGCCAACCTTCTCCTTCTTTGGTTTCTTTAATTAATTAATTAATTTTGGAGACAGAGTCTCACTCCTTCACCCAGGCTGGAGTGAAGTGGTGTGGTCTAGGCTCACTGCAACCTCTGTTTCCTGGGTTCAAGTGATTCTCCTGCCCTCAGCCTCCTGAGTCGCTAGGATTACATGCACCTGCCACCATGCCTGGCTTTCCTTGGGTTGTTTCTTAACTTGTCCTTGACCTGGGTTCCAGTGTTGGTTTCCTGTTGCTGCTGTACAAAATTATCAGAAGCATGGAAGCAGGAGAGACCACACTGACACCTTCCAGTACTGGAGACAGAAATTGGACCCTATTTTTCCTGGGCTAAAATCAAGGCATCTGCAGGGCTTTGTTCCCTCTGGAGACTCTGGAGAATCAGTTCCTTGACTTTTCCAGCCTCTATAGGCCACCTGCATTCATGGCTCTTGGCCTTCCTCCACCTTCAAAGCTGGTGAAGACTTCCACTGGACTGCTCTAATCCCCACTCCCCTCTTCCTCCTCCTTTCATGTGCACCCTTGTGATTACACTGAGCCCAGTGGGACAGTCCAGGCTGTCTCCCCATGAGCTCCATCTTCCCCTTCAGTCCCTTCCCCTATAACATACATAGTCACAGACTCCAGGGATTAGAATGTAGTCATCACTGGGGACAATTATTCTTCCCACCACAGCACCCATTTCCCTGTATTCAATCCCCCTTTACCACAAATACAGTCAGGGCCTGCGTGATGGGACCCTCAAGGACATGCCCACCAGAAGCTCTGGGATTCAGGAGGTGGGACAAGGAGAATCCAAGACAGGAGCCCTCTGACCTATGACCACGATCACCAGGGGGTTGCTGGGTGCTGACCACCCACTGGGGGAGTGTGTGTGTGAACCCCGACATCTGTATGTCCCTGTTGTGCGGGGGTCACAGGGCCCATGAAAAGGCTGTTCCAGAATATTCTGTTGTAGAGCTCAGGGACAGGCACCCCACCTTCCTTGTACAGACTGAAGTTGTTAAACCCAAGATAAGAGTGACACCGAAGAATGACATGTCCTAGAGGCACCACAAGGCTGGGCCAGGCAGACAGCAAGGGCTTGTCCTGACCACCTTGGGGAGAAGGAGGCGCCGCCTTAGAGAGGAGGATGTGGAACTGCCCCTCCCTCCCTGTGCTCAGAAGATTCTCCTCGCTTTCCACGTTTCTATGGCTACTATCACACCTTGGTGCCCAGGGCTGAAGGAAGGACCCATCCCGCAAAGACATGGTGTCTCCCTACAACAAAAGCCTCAGCTGAGAACTTTGAGCAAGTGCTGAGTAAAGAGACTCCTACTAGATTTTGATACTGTAAGATTACTCACATAAAACAACACAGGGTAGACATGAGGTGGAGGGCATGTCCTTTGTGAATGGATATCAGCGGATGCCTGAACGAAAATAAACAACTGAGCCCCCATCAGAGGATTTGGAATGTCAGGGCCATGGCTGTGGTTTCCCACCTCTTCTGGTAGAATGACAGCAGCCACACTGCAGCCCCTACCATCATGGAAACGCTGAAGTGTGTGAGTAACACCTTTGTCCTCAGAGGATCTGCTGTTCCTACCACTTCCCAACCACACACCCCAGCTTTGAGCACCCCAGTCTAACCCTGGTCCCCACAGAACTTGACTCTGCCAAGGGGTTGAGAGGCCAGGGAGGCGAGGTCAGAAATGTGGGCTGAGCACCCCAGGGTCCTCTCTTCCTAGTTTATGAGAGACTCCCCGACAGGACTTCCCTCCTGTTTCAGGAAAATCCTCTTATGTGGGGAGATGACACCCGAAGGTTTGGAGAAGGACTCACCCTCATGTGGCCAGGCCCCCTGCAGCAAGAAGAACCCTGGAAAGAAAGATCATGATGGACGATCCATCTGCAGGCGAACCAGCCCTCCCTTGCTGCCCCCACTGGGCTGTGAGTCTTGGCAGCCAGGCCCTTCCTGGGCTGAAGTTAAACTCACCCTCAGTGCCTACCTGCACCCAAGAACAGGGCTGTCGGCTGTGCAGAGACCCAGTTTCCAGGCCCATATCCCCACCCCAAGCCCATATCTCCACTCCAGGCTGATATTTCCACCCTAGGCCCATATCGCCAATCCAGGCTCAGATCTCCACCCTAGGCCCCTATCTCCAATCCAGTCCCATATCTCCGCCCCAGGCCCAGAACTCCACCCTAAGCCCATATCTCCACTCCAGGCCCATATCACCTCTCCAGTCCCATATCTCCACACCCAGGCCCATATCTCCTTCCTAGGCCCATATCTCCACTCCAGGCCCAGATATCCACCTCTAGGCCCATAACTCCACTCCTGGCCCATATCTCCACTCCAGGCCCATATCTCTACTGCAGGCCCGTATCTCCACCTCCAGACCCATATCTCCACTCCAGGCCCATATCTCCACCTCCAGGCCCATATCTCCACCTCCAGGCCCATATCTCCACTTCAGGCCCATATCTCCACTCCAGGCCCATATCTCCACTCCAGGCCCCTATCTCTACTGCAGGCCCATATCTCCATCTCCAGGCCCATATCTCCATCTCCAGGCCCATGTCTCCACTACAAGCCCATATCTCTACTGCAGGCCCATATCTCAACCTCCAGGCCCATATCTCCACTCCAGGCCCAGATCTCCACTTCTAGGCCCATCACTCCATCTCTAGGCCCATAACTCCACTTCCAGGCCTATATCTCCAACTCTGGGCCCCGATCTCCATCCCCGCACTCCCTCCCTCGATTCCCTTCCAGGACTCACCAACACACGCCATGCTGACGACCATGAGCGACATGGTGCTGTCTGTGCAGACAGGCGGCCGCGCCCCAGCTCAGCTCAGCAGCGCACAGGATGTTATTTGGCGCCCTGCCCATGCAGTTTACATGTTGACCACATCATGGGAGGGTGACGTACGCAGGCTCTTTCTACCTTGCATGAGGCCCAGTGGGTGCTCGCTCAAGAGCGGAACATGGCTTCCTGGAAATTGTTCTCACTAGAATTGACACCTTGCGTCCTTCACTACGACCAGACTCAAAAGACGTCTCAGATCCAACCTCTCATACACGAGATGATTGAATTCTGTGCTTACATTAAAGATTTTTGATGTATTTTTGTTTTTATCTGAGATTCAAACTCTTCTTCATATGTAATGTGCAAAATGTCTAACAGGTATTATTAACATTATCAGAGTAATTGTGACAAGAAGCCATTCTAATTTTCCTGCTTGAGTTTCTAGTACTAAACCAGAGGCATCAGAATAGCTTGAACCTGGGAGGCGGAGGTTGCAGTGAGCTGAGCTCAAGCCACTGAACTCCAGCTTGGGTGACAGAGGAAGAGTCTGTCTCAAGAAAAAAAAAAAAGCAAACTAAATAACCTATAATAACAAATCAGAGGACTCAGGTTACCAAATTTTAAGGGGTTCTATAAGTTTATATAAAATGCAGCATCCTCATGAGAGGGGATACAGAGAACCACTGGACAGAAAACTGTGTCTAAAATACATCTGTGGATACACAGTCCCTTTATAGTTGACAAAGGCTGCCATGTAGTTTAAGGTGGAATAGAATATTTTCTCAACAAATAACACAGGACCATAGGGTTACACGTAGGAAAAAATAAATCTAAACTTATCCTCACACTATAAAAACACTTCTTATTTTTTATCTTGTTGTTGTAAATTTTTTATGCTTTATTTTTAAGATTGACAAATAAAAATTATATACCATGGTCCTTCACTATACCTGGGTGATTGGTTCCAGGATCCCCATTCAGATACCAAAATCTGCAGATGCTCAAGCCCCTTGCATGAAATGGCATAGTGAAGCTGGGCACCGTGGCTCACGCCCGTAATCCCAGCACTTTGGGAGGCTGAGCTGGGTAGATCACAAGGTCAGGAGTTCAAGACCAGCTGGTCCAACATTCTGAAACCCCGTCTCTACTAAAAATACACACACAAAAAAATTTATCTGTGCATGGTGGCACGTGCCTGTAATCCTAGGGGAGGCTACTGGGGAGGCTGAGGGAAGACAATCGCTTGAACCTGGGAGGCGGAGGTTGCAGTGAGTTGAGATCACGCCACTGCACTCCAGCCTGGGTGAGAGAGTGAGACTGTCTCAAAAAAAAAAAATAGCATAGCAATTGCATAGAACCCATGCACATCCTCCTGTATACATGAAATCATCTCTTGATTACTTATAATTCCTGACACAGCCTACACGCCACTCAATTTGTGTCGATTCAACATAGTTTTTTGCTTCTTGAAACTTCGGGGATTTTTTTCTCAAAATATTTTTGATTTATTGTTGGTTCAATAAACACCTGTAAACCCCACAGATATGGAGGACCGACTGTATATTTATATTATGAAAGATGATATGTTGATATGTGTCCCCGTGGAGATGAGACTAACAAGGCCTATGACTCTACAAATGTTTCATCGTGGAATGACTCTGCCAGCTTTCCAGGTCTGCAGAGAGTAAGAATATCACTTGTTCATGTGATTCACGATCCTTGGAGCCTCCTATGTGCTGTATCTTTGGATGGAAATTGGAGTCTCAGAGACAATTCAGGCTCCATTCTGCTTCCAGAAGCTCAGAGTCCAGGGCTGAGAACCCAATGGAGAACAGATGGGGTTATGTGGACATGGTAATGATAACACCGGAAGCCTTAGGCAAGAGAAGAGTCTCGTTACCGAAACCATGAGGGCAGACATGTTTATTTGAAGGCGGGAAAACTACATTGAAATTATTTAAAAAATTTATAAGTTTTACTGCTGGCAGAAGGCTGAAAGATAGTCTGAAGGGAGGTGGAACAGCACGTGTCTAAGTGCTGTGTTAAGAGGGAGCCTCTTGTATGTTTGGAATTGTGAGTTCCTCAGTGTGATTGCAGCCTCAGGTAGACTAGGAAGTAAGCTAGTTAGGTTGGAGAGGTGGGCAGGGGTCAAGTGAAATGGAGAATTGTGGGCTAAGCAAAGGAGTGTGTTTTCTCTCCAGCAGGCAGTGGGGACCTTAGACATTTGTAAGCAAGAGAGAGGCATGTTCAGATTCGTGGTGTGAGGAAGAGCGATGCCCTAAGATGAAGACTGATGCCTTCAGATTCCAGCTGCTGGTACATGGGAGCTGGCAACCCGGTTTTGAGACAGGGCTGTTGTCTCCCTAGAAGATCCCCTCAAGGCCTGACTGTGGTGCTCGTGGACAGAAGACAACTTTGGATCTGGGCTCAGCATTTGGAAGTTCTATGTACATGCTGGTATCTGTTGGGGGTGTCTTGGGCCTCTCAGAAGGGCGAGTGATTTCTCTCTGTGTGAAAACACAGTGATCCAATTATGCGTATGACACCTCCTGATGGTCTTGTTCATCAGAATCCTGGAGAGAGGGAAATGCTGAGTGAGGGAGGGTGCTCACATTTTTCAGGACTCTTTGGGAATAAGACTAGCCACGAGGCTGGGCCGAGGAGCACCTACCTCGCTGTTCACTGTTCTGTTCCCTGCAGGCTCTTGGTCCATTACAGCAGCATCTGTAGAAGACGGAAGTCAACAAAAGAGCTCGGAGGGCACTTCTGGGTCCTCATTTCATAAGCAGATACCAACAAACAGGGGGAGGCCATAGGTGCCTGAGGTCCCTCAGTTGCCAACAGCAGACTCAGACATTCTATCTCTCTGAGTTCAAGGACCCATCCCATGAATAGCTCTGAGTTCCCATCCCATTGATTCTATCTCCCACTTTCTGCCTGTCATGGAACCTTCTCCTGGATGTGAGTGGCTGCAGGGGACGTGAGGGTACAGTTCAGAATCAGGCAACGGTCTGTGAGCTGAAGGCAGGGGAAGGGAATCTGGTGCTCTCTCTAGAAAGTCCTGCCTCTGTGGCTCCTGTCTTGGGCCAGGGACCATCCTGCTGGTGAGGAACACACACCTGAGTGCTCCCATCCTGCTTCCCCACATGGCCCTGAGCTCTCTGGCCTCTGCTTCGTGAGACTTACTTTTTTTGTTGGAGCACCAGCGATGAAGGAGAAAGAAGAGGAGGATGGTGAAAGGGATTTTGACCACTGAGGTCCCAATCAGAACATGCAGGTGTCTGGGGTTACCTGGAAGAAGAGGAGACACCAATAAGAAGCTAATCATAGCAGTTCCTCTTTATGAATTGTCTCGCATTTCTTGATTGGCAGGTAACCACATACAACGTCTCTTTAGGACAAGCACCCAAATGGCGGGAGACCTAGCTTTCCCCTGCTTTCTCAATTATAGCTCTCATAGTAACCATAGAACGTGCTGAGGATACAACTACTTTAGTTGAGATGTTTGACCCCTTCAAACCTCACATTGAAATTTCACCCCCATTGTGGGAGGTTGGGCCTCTTCAGAGGTGTTTGGGTCATGGAGGTGGATCCATCATGAACAGATCAATGCTGTCCCAAGGAGACGGGGTTAGCAAGTTCCCCCTCTGTTAGTTCCTGGACAGCTGGTTGTTAAAAAGAGCTTGGAAGCTCCATTGCTCCCTCTCCCCCTTACTCTCTCTCTTGCCGTGTGATCTCTGTGGTCTCTGCACAGACAGACCCTCCTTCCCTTCTGCCAGAGTGGGAGCAGCCTGAGGCCATCACGAGAAATAGATTCTGGTGCCATGCTTCCAGTACAGCCTGCAGAACTGTGAGGCAAACCGATCTCTTTTCTTTAGAAGTTACCGAGGCTCAAGTGTTCCTTCAGAGCAACAAAAAAAAAAACTAAGACAGCAACGACCTGAGATCAGGAGGAATGTCTCAGAACAGCCTGGGCTGTCTTCCTGTTCTTCCTGGAGGAAGGCGTCATGCAGTGCTTTAGCTGAGTGCTTCCTGTGGCTCCAGGGTACAAAACCCAGGCTGGGCTGCTTTCTGGCTTCCCCCAGCTACACTGCAAATGGGGTGACTCCATATGTCCCGAGCAGCTTTTCTGAGCCTTGAGGGACTGGCTCACATTGAAATGTAGGCTTCTGTTGTCACTCGCTGCTTATCTGTTAGTAATGAACCTGCCTGTGTAATGTATTCTCTGTGTGTTCTGTCTCCCTGGAGTGACGGTGAGTGATAGGAATTGGCATAGGCCCAGGTGCAGTCCAGGAGGTGTTTAGAGTCTTCTCTGGGAAGACTGCACTGGGATTGATACACAGCGACTGTGCTTTAGGATTTCTACATCCACGGCATTCTTGAGTCAAACAACTTGCATTCTCCAAGAAAAGGAAACAAAAGTGAAATCAAGATAAAAAAAGCGAAGTAGAATTCTCTTATGTCAAATGGCCAGGAAACAGTGTTGAAGCCCATGTGAAACGTGCTACTCTTTGTGATCTCAGGAGACACATGTTAGGTTGCTGTTCTACCCGAGAGGCTGGGGGAAGGACCACCCCCTCGGCCATCTATTGCTTCAATACCACCTGTCCTCCTGTGAATTAGTAGGAAAGGGGAGCAGGAGCTACTGCTGACGCTAATCTCTGATTCCAAGATCTGGACTCACTCCAAGGAGTATTAGAATTTACCTCCCCATGGCCTATCTGAATCTCCACAGATGATTGGAAGTAGGGGTGAGGTGGGGGATTTGGGTGAGAGGGCATGTTTTCTTGTGATGAACAGAGCACTTTGTGTATTCCAGGATCTGTGCTGGAGGATTCAGCGGGCTTTCACATTTTCTATATGATCTCATGCTCACAGAAAGCCAAATAGGGAAGAGGTTTTAGGCTCATTGCCTAATGGATAAGATAAAGGATCAAAGAAGTAATTATAGAGAAATAGAAAAATCATGATTGGAATTCAGGTCCCTTTCTCATTTGCATGTGTTATATTATATTTATATTTATGCATTTCTTATTTTTATTTTTTGAGACGGAGTCTCCTTGTGTCACCCAGGCTGGAGTGCAGTGATGCAATCTCCACTCACTGCAACCTCCACCTCCTGGGTTGAAGTCATTCTCCTGCTTCATCCTCCAGAGTAGGAGCTGGGATTACAGGGATGCACCACCATGCTCGGCTAATTTTTGTGTTTTTCCTAGAGACAGGGTTTCACCATGTTGGCCAGGCTGGTCTCGAACTGCTGACTTCATGTGATCCACCCGCCTTGGCCTCCTGCAGTGCTGGGTTACAGGCGTGAGCCACCGTTCACAGACTTGTATATTATGCTATAATAGGTCCCTTCATTTCCACCACCCCTCATATATCTGTCACTCCTTTGCCAGGTATTGATTTATGTGTAGTAGGAATAAAGCTCAGAAAGAAATTAAGCGAGGATTAGACAACTAGGAAAATCATACCCAGCAAGCCTTTCCAGCCAATGATTCCACCTCACAAGCATAGCTTATATCCATCTGCTTCACCCAGTTAGGGTCTAAATCAGCACCACATTTCACCAGTGGGGCGGGAATTGCCTTTTCCACAGTCTCCTAGATTCCAGTTATGCACCTGGGCCTCCCTTATTTTCATGTCAGTCACTATTAATCATGTAGGGATTCCTGGCTACCCCGAGGTGAATCCAATGGCTGTGAGTGTCAAACACACACTCCTTGTTGCTCCTTAGTTTCCTGTGTACCCAGTGTGCTCTCCGTCTCTCCACAGTCGTCTTGTCATTCTCCCCACCTCATTCCCAGCATTTGAGGCAGAGCCTCTTCCTTCCACATCAGATTGTTTTCAGCTTTCTGCCTTCACGGCTGACAGCTGTGTGTGGAAAATCCTTCCGCCAATCTTTCAGGGGTTCAATCCGTGTTTTTCATTAATGTCACAAATATCTGATTAGTGAGATCTTCTCTGTCACCCAAAATCATACACTCAGCATTATGTATTATTTATTTTAAATTCTGGCTGGGCACAGTGGCTCACGCCAGTTATCCCAGTACTTTAGGATGCTGAGACGGTCGGATCACTTGAGGTTGGGAGTTTCAGAGAAGCTTGGCGAAGATGGTGAAACATCCTCTACAAAAAATATACAAAAAGAATTAGCCGGGCATGGTGGCAGTTGCCTGTAATCCCAGCTACTTGAGAGGCTGACGCAGGAGAATCACTTGGATCCAGAAGGTGCAGGTTGCAGTGAGCCAAGATGGTGACACTGCACTGTAGCCTGGAAGACAGAGGGAGACTCTGTCTCAATAAACAAATGAAGAAACAAACAAATAGATTTCATACACAGATGCTTCCCAATGGATCATTCATTTATTGGTCCACTTGTGCATTCATTTTCTGCCCTCCCATTTAACCATCTGCAATATCAGTGTCCAAAGAGCAGAGGCCAAATGCATCTTGTTCACTGTTTGTGGAAGGCAGGAGAATGCTGTCCCACCCCAAAATGTCCCTGTCCTAGCCTCCATAGCTTGTGAATATCTTATTTTACATGGAAAGGAGGAATGAAGATTGCAGATGGAATTATGGTTGCTAATCAGCTGAACTTAAAACAAGGGTATCCTGAATGATTTCCGGGAGATTATGATGGATTTTCATCTTGGTGAACCCAATAGAATCCCCAAGTTTTCAAAAGATGAGGAAGAAGGGAGAGCAGCATTCAGAGAAAGAGGTGTGGTAAGGAAGAAGGGTCTGAGTGATGCCATGTGAGATGTGACCAGTCTTTGTGGGCTTTGAGGAAGGAGGAAGGGGACCAGGAGCGAAGGAATGTGGGAGCCTCTAGAAGCTGAGAAAAGTGAGAAGCAGATTCTTGCCTGGAATCCTCAGAGGGAAGGCAGCCTTGCTGTCACCTTGATTTTAGCCCAGTGAGATGCACTTCATACTTTGAGCTACAGCACTGTAAGATAATTAAAAAACCGTTTTGTTTTCACCCACGAATCTTGTGGAAATTTGTTATGGCAACAATAGGAAAAGCTTCCACAGTGCACAGCCTGAGCATGGGGCCGTGGCTGAATGAGTCAGTGAGTCGAAGTGTGCGTGCATGAGCTCTGTTCTCTGTTACAGCAAGGCTCTTTCTCTGCTGAGTCAGCCAGGGTTGCTTCATGACCTATAGGAGCTCATTCCTTGGCAAGTGGAACTTCTCTAAAACACCTCGCCCTCATCAGATGTTCCCTTCCCTTCCCTCTCTCAAGTCTCCAGGAATTTATCCTCCAGTTAGGAATGCAGGCAGAACAAACATTGCATTTTTCCTGAGAAGGATGTCAGATTGGCAATCATTCTTCTAGCTTGTAGGAAGTCTCAGCTCCATAAAATGAGAGATGAAGAGATTTCACTGAGCCCTGTGTTGGACCCAGATCCCTTTCGCTGTAGGAGTATCTGGAGTTCGGAGATGGTGGAAGACAGGGGTACAATGTCAGAGCTGTGAGATGCTGAGTCAACGCCTGAATCCAAGGTTTCCACCTCCCCAGGTTTCCAAAAGCGGATATAAGAGGGTTCTGTACTCACCGGTTTTGGAGCTTGGTTCAGTGGGTGAAGGCCAACTATTTGAAGGGTTTCCTAGAACATGAGACAGGAGAGAGGTGAGGAAATGAGGGTGTCTGTCCTCTACTCAGTGGAAATCTTTGAGGATGGTTCATGGCCAACACTCTGTTATCTAATATTGGGCCCTGGGAGTCCTGGGATCCTTTTTTCCATAATTTTTTTATGTGACGCCCACTGTCTTGAGACTTCAAGGTATAAAGAGAAAACAGGAGCATCACACTACCTGATCTCAAAATATGTTACAGAGCTGTAGTAAGCAAAACAGCATGACATTGGCATAAAGAAAGGGACATAGAACAACGGAGCAGAATGAATAACACAGATATATTCCATGCATTTACATCCAATGGTTTTTTATTTTTTCTTTTGAGATGGAGTCTTGCTCTGTCACTCAGGCTGGAGTGCAGAGGTGCAATCTCAGTTCACTGCAACCTCAGCCTCCTGGGTTCAATCATTCTCTTGCCTCAAACTCCTGAGTAGTGGTATTACAGGTGCTGACCACCATGCTCAGCTAATTTTTATATTTTTAGTGGAGACGATGTTTCATCACGTCGTCCAGACTGATCTTGAACTCCTGGCCTCAGGTAATCCACCCGCCTCGGCCTCCCAAAGTGCTGAAATTGCAGGTGTCAGCCACCAAGCCCAGCCCATCCAATGGACTTTGACAAAGGTGCCAAGAACTCACAATCAGGAAAGGACAGTCTTTTCAATAAACAGTGCAGGGAAACCTGGACATCGACATGCAGAGGAATGAAACTGCACCTCTACCTGTCACCATACACAAAAATCAAATGAAAATGGATTAAAGATGTGAGTCTAAGGCCTGAACCTATGAAACACGTAGAACAAAATATTGGGGAAATGCTCCAGGACATTTGTCTGAAGAAAGACATTTTGTTTTAAACCTTGAAAACACAAGTAATCGAAGCAAAAATAGACCATTGGGATTACCTCAAACTAAGCAACTTCTGCACTGCTAAAAATAAACCAACAAAGTGAAGAGACAACCCACAGATTGGGAGCAAATATGTGCAAACTATGCATCTGAGATGGGATTAATAACTAGAAATATAAGAAGCTCAAACAACTCAATAAAACAAATGATTTAATTGAAAAAGGAGCAGAAGACATGAAATTTCCCCACATACTAAAAAGTGCTCAGTATCACTCATCATCAGAGAAACGCAAATTAAAATCAAAGTGAGTTTTCATCTCACCCCATTAAAATGGCTTTTAGGCCGGGCGTGGTGGCTCACGTCTGTCATCCTAGAACTTTGAGAGCCTGAGGTGGGTGAATCTCATAAGGTCAGGAGTTTGAGACCAGTCTGACCCACATAGAGAAACACTGTCTCTACTAAAAATACAAAAATTAGTCGGGCGTGGTGGAGTGTGCCTGTAATTCCAGCTACTCGGGAGGCTGAGGCAGGAGAATCGCTTGAACCTGGGAGGTGGAGGTTGTGGTGAGCCGAGATAGCGCCACTGCACTCCTGCCTGGGTGAGAAGAGCAAAACTCCATTCAAAATAAAATGAAATAAAATAAAATGGCTTTTAGCTGCAAGACAGGCAAAAGAAATGCTGGCAAGGTGGTAGAGAAAGGAGAACCCTGGTACCCTGTTGGGAGGAGTGTAAATTAGTACAGCGATTACGGAGAAAAGTATGGAAGTCCTTTAAAGAACTAAAAAGAGGTTGGGTGTGGTGGATCAGGCCTGTAATCCCAGCACTTTGGGAGACTGAGGCGGGCATCTCAGTTGAGGTCATGAGTTTGAGAGCAGCCCAGCCAACATGGGGAAACCGCATCTATACTAAAAAAAACAAAAAGTAGCCAGGCATGGTGGCGTGCACCTGTAATCCCAGCTACTAGGGAGGCTGAGGCAGGAAAATCATTTGAACCCAGGAGGCAGAGGTTGCAATGAGCCAAGATGACATCACTTGTACTCCAGCCTGGGCACAGAGGGAAACTGTCTCAAAAACAAAAACAAAACAACAAACGAAAAACTAAAAAGAGAACTTTCATAGTATCCAGCAATTTCACTACTGGGTTTATATCCAAAGGAAAGTAAATCAATATATCGAAGTGATATCTGCACTCGTATGATTGGTGCAGCACTGTTCACAGTAGCCAAGATGTGGAGTCAACCTACCTGCCCATCAGTGGATGAATGGATAGAGAGAATGTAGTACATACGCACAGTGGAGACTACTCATCCATAGAAAGAATAACATCCTGATATTTGCAGCCACATGGATGGAACTGGAAGTCATTACAAAGATTCCCATTTCTCACCCATATACAGAGCTAAAAGGTGGATCTCATGAAGGTAGAGAGTAGAATGATGGCTTCCAGAGGCCAGGAAGAAAAGGGTGGAGGGTAAAAAAAAAAAAAAAATATATATATATATAAATGTATTTATGACCACTAGACTTTACACTTAAAAATGGTAAATGTGGCTGGGCGTGGTGGCTCATGCCTGTAATCCCAGCACTTTGGGAGGCACATGCGGGTGGATCACGTGGTCAGGAGTTGGAGACCAGCTCGACCAACATGGTGAAACCACCTCTCTACTAAAAATACAAAAAGTAGCCTGGCGTGGTGGTGCGCGCCTGTAGCACCAGCTACTCAGGTGGCTGAGGCAAGAGAATCGCTTGAACCCAGGAGGCGGAAATTGCAGTGAGCTGAGATTGTGCCACTGCACTCCAGCATAGGGGACAGAGCTAGACTCTGCCTCAAAAAAAAAAAAAATGTTAAAGGTGGTAAGCTATATAGGTATATTTATCCTCAATAAATATTTCTTCAAACAAAAGTAAAGGGTGTAGGGGTTGCTGGTGATGACATCCCTGTGTGGGTGAGAGGCCAGGATGGGCTTCTGGGAAATGGATAATGTTGAGGGGCTGAGGGAACCTCTGATCTTCCCAAACTGAGCCCAGTCTCTCTCCTCTGGGTCTCTCCTGACCGTTTTCTCCATCTGCCTGTGTGCCTGGAGCCCTGGCCGCGGGCCTTCATGCAGGCCGTGTAGGAGGGTTTGGAGGTGCCCTGTCTGCCATCCTGTGCCCTGATCCCTCCCTCACACCCAAGCTTCGTCTTCTCTCTGCATCTGTCCATGCTTCTCTCCATCATCAGCAGGAAGCTCCTCAGCTAAGGCTCTAGGATCATAGGACATGAGACAGATATGGGGTTTCCTCACCTGTGACAGAAACAAGCAGTGGGTCACTCGAGTTTGACCACTCATAGGGAGAGTCACGGAAAGAGCCGAAGCATCTGTAGGTTCCTCCGTGGGTGGCAGGGCCCAGAGGAAAGTCGGCCTGGAATGTTCCGTTGACCTTGGGCCCTGCAGAGAACCTACGTTCATGGGCCTCCCCCTCCCTGGATAGATGGTACATGTCATAGGAGCTCCGGGAGCTGCAGGACAAGGTCACGCTCTCTCCTGCCAAAACCGTGGGGCCCGGCTGGGCTGAGAGAGAAGGTTTCTCATATAGACCTGGAAGGAGAAGAGGCATTTTCCTCAGGGAGGATCTTCCTTGTCACAGCTCCCTTCACCTGAGCTGAGAACTCACTCCCCTGCTCTATGACCTAATGCTCTCTCTCTCTCTCTCTCACCCTCCACCCCATCTCTCTTCATGTCTATTTCCTCCTTCCACCTTCTCTGTCTCTCTAGGTCTCTGACCTCGCTTCCCCACCTCTAGATATGTTTTCCCTTTTTGGATTCTTTTATTCTCTCTGACTCTCCTTGGATTGGTTGACTTGATGTTACTTTTTTAAATTCTAAGTTTCTCACGTTGTGTCCTGTTCATAACTTTCTGCATATTTCTATCTATTATCTGTCGATCTATCTATTTATCTATTCGGTGCCTATCTACAAATTCTCTACCTGTCATCTATATCTATATATCATCTATGTATCTATCAGTTGTCTATCTATCCATCAATCATCTGTTATTTATATGTATGTATCATCTCTCTCTCTATGATTTCTGTCTGCCTCTCTATCTGTACGTATTATCTATCTGTCTTCATCATCATCATCTCTATGTATTATCTATTAATGAATCAATCAATCATCATCTATGTATCTTTAACCTATTATCTATCATCTACCTATTTATCATCTATCTATATCTATCCATCTATCATCTGTCTTGCTCTGCCTCTCGGTCTCTCTAGTTCTCTTTGGAATCTCTGCAGTTCATCCCCACATCTCCATCTTTCTATGTCCTTGTGCCTCTCCCTCAGGACTCTAATTTTAGTGCTTTTCTCTGCTCCCTTCCATCATTCTCACCACTCCTCTGCCCTCTTTTCTCTCTCTTTATGTGTCAGTGAGTCTCTCAATCTCCTTCCTCTGGCCCATTCTCTGTGTGTTTATGTCTTTGCTTTTTGGTGTTCCTGATTTCTCTCTGTGCCTCTCAGTGATCCTTTCATATGTGGGGTTATTTGGAATGTGAGCCTCAGAATCCAGTCTGGAGACCACAAGTTCACACAGCATACAGGGGTTGGTGTTCTGGGGCCATGATATCCTGGGACGGTTACTCTCCATTACATGGAAGGCAGAGGTGTCAGAATAAACATGGCCTGTAGGTGCCACAAGGCCTGAGGCCACAGGGCCCAACTCAGGTCAGAAATATGGGTGTCCTTGGGTTCTCCTGGTAGAGAACACTTTGTGGAGGTAAAACAGAAATGAAACTTCTATCCTGTGCCAGGTCTGTGAGCAAAGTCAGCATGGAGGGACACCTCTCTCTGGGACATGTCTGTCTGTCTGTCTCCTTTAACTCTTTCTGTCTTTTCTAACTCCCTGTATGGCCCCTGTGTCTGTCCTCCGTTATGACACCTGGTCTGTACTTGTGTCTCCTGTTTCTCTGTCTCTGTTGGTACAAACCTCAGCAAGTCAGTCTCTCTCCATAAGAATACCAAGCTCATCTTCCTTACAACTACCTGGGGGTTCCAAGTCGTGGATCATTCACTCTGCAGCCCAATGACAATGAGAATGTCCGGACACTCTCACCTGTGATGACGATGTCCAGAGGGTCACTGGGAGCTGACAACTGATAGGGGGAGTGAGTAACAGAACCGTAGCATCTGTAGGTCCCTGCAAGGTCTTGCATCATGGGACCGATGGAGAAGTTGGCCTTGGAGACCCCATCATGGTGCTCTCCAATGAGGTGCAAAGTGTCCTTATACTTCCCCTCTCTGTGCAGAAGGAAGTGCTCAAACCTGACATCTGACCAACATTGCAGGATGACTGTCTCTTCTGATTTCACCAGGGGACCTGGGTGGGCCAGGAGGGAAGGTTTTCTGTGGACTCCTAAGAAGAGAGGTTGTGAGTTTAGAAGGTGTCTCTCTTTATCATCCCATCCATGGCACCTAGAATGAGTGAGGCTTCCCCTTGCTGGTGTCTGTCTCTCTCCTTCCTCTCTGTGTCTTCATGTTCTTTTCTGTGCCCATAACTCCTGGTGCAGGTCCTTCCATCTGTCTCCCTCCCTCTTCTCTGTCCCTCTGTCTCTAGTAGCCTCTGATTCCCTTCCCACTGGGCTTAGCCTCATCTCTTGGGGTGTTGTATCTATTTCACACTAACGTCTTTCCTGCTGTTTATGTGGGGGTGAAAGAGGAACCAGGATAGGCTGCACATCCAGGCTCTTATCAGCCTTGTTCAATCTCTTTTGGATGAATTGCAATCCTTGGCAGAAGGTATGAACTGATGAATAAGGCAGGCACCAGTGTCCACACACCCTGTTCCTGGTCGGGACTGGGAGCCACTCTTGCCATGCCTGTGCCTTCTCCATGGTGCCAGCTTCCATAGGCTGGCTCCTGGTGCTGGTTGGAGGAGTATCAACCCCTCCCTATGTGGATGGAGCCTGGTGGTGGCATCATCATCCCACCCTTGCTGATCTCAGGGTAGCCAACCTTCTCCTTGTTTGGTTTCTTTAATTAATTAATTAATTTTGGAGACAGAGTCTCACTCCTTCACCCAGGCTGGAGTGAAGTGGTGTGGTCTAGGCTCACTGCAACCTCTGTTTCCTGGGTTCAAGTGATTCTCCTGCCCTCAGCCTCCTGAGTCGCTAGGATTACATGCGCCTGCCACCATGCCTGGCTTTCCTTGGGTTGTTTCTTAACTTGTCCTTGACCTGGGTTCCAGTGTTGGTTTCCTGTTGCTGCTGTACAAAATTATCAGAAGCATGGAAGCAGGAGAGACCACACTGACACCTTCCAGTACTGGAGACAGAAATTGGACCCTATTTTTCCTGGGCTAAAATCAAGGCATCTGCAGGGCTTCGTTTCCTCTGGAGACTCTGGAGAATCAGTTCCTTGACTTTTCCAGCCTCTATAGGCCACCTGCATTCATGGCTCTTGGCCTTCCTCCACCTTCAAAGCTGGTGAAGACTTCCACTGGACTGCTCTAATCCCCACTCCCCTCTTCCTCCTCCTTTCATGTGCACCCTTGTGATTACACTGAGCCCAGTGGGACAGTCCAGGCTGTCTCCCCATGAGCTCCATCTTCCCCTTCAGTCCCTTCCCCTATAACATACATAGTCACAGACTCCAGGGATTAGAATGTAGTCATCACTGGGGACAATTATTCTTCCCACCACAGCACCCATTTCCCTGTATTCAATCCCCCTTTACCACAAATACAGTCAGGGCCTGCGTGATGGGACCCTCAAGGACATGCCCACCAGAAGCTCTGGGATTCAGGAGGTGGGACAAGGAGAATCCAAGACAGGAGCCCTCTGACCTATGACCACGATCACCAGGGGGTTGCTGGGTGCTGACCACCCACTGGGGGAGTGTGTGTGTGAACCCCGACATCTGTATGTCCCTGTTGTGCGGGGGTCACAGGGCCCATGAAAAGGCTGTTCCAGAATATTCTGTTGTAGAGCTCAGGGACAGGCACCCCACCTTCCTTGTACAGACTGAAGTTGTTAAACCCAAGATAAGAGTGACACCGAAGAATGACATGTCCTAGAGGCACCACAAGGCTGGGCCAGGCAGACAGCAAGGGCTTGTCCTGACCACCTTGGGGAGAAGGAGGCGCCGCCTTAGAGAGGAGGATGTGGAACTGCCCCTCCCTCCCTGTGCTCAGAAGATTCTCCTCGCTTTCCACGTTTCTATGGCTACTATCACACCTTGGTGCCCAGGGCTGAAGGAAGGACCCATCCCGCAAAGACATGGTGTCTCCCTACAACAAAAGCCTCAGCTGAGAACTTTGAGCAAGTGCTGAGTAAAGAGACTCCTACTAGATTTTAATACTGTAAGATTACTCACATAAAACAACACAGGGTAGACATGAGGTGGAGGGCATGTCCTTTGTGAGTGGATATCAGCGGATGCCTGAACGAAAATAAACAACTGAGTCCCCATCAGAGGATTTGGAATGTCAGGGCCATGGCTGTGGTTTCCCACCTCTTCTGGTAGAATGACAGCAGCCACACTGCAGCCCCTACCATCATGGAAACGCTGAAGTGTGTGAGTAACACCTTTGTCCTCAGAGGATCTGCTGTTCCTACCACTTCCCCACCACACACCCCAGCTTTGAGCACCCCAGTCTAACCCTGGTCCCCACAGAACTTGACTCTGCCAAGGGGTTGAGAGGCCAGGGAGGCAAGGTCAGAAATGTGGGCCGAGCACCCCAGGGTCCTCTCTTCCCAGTTTATGAGAGACTCCCTGACAGGACTTCCCTCCTGTTTCAGGAAAATCCTCTTATGTGGGGAGATGACAACCGAAGGTTTGGAGAAGGACTCACCCTCATGTGGCCAGGCCCCCTGCAGCAAGAAGAACCCTGGAAAGAAAGATCATGATGGACCATCCATCTGCAGGCAAACCAGGACTCCCTTGCTGCCCCCACTGGGCTGTGAGTCTTGGCAGCCAGGCCCTTCCTGGGCTGAAGTTAAACTCACCCTCAGTGCCTACCTGCACCCAAGAACAGGGCTGTCGGCTGTGCAGAGACCCAGTTTCCAGGCCCAGATCCCCACCACAAGCCCATATCTCCACTCCAGGCTGATATTTCCACCCTAGGCCCATATCTCCAATCCAGTCCCATATCTCTGCCCCAGGCCCAGATCTCCACCCTAAGCCCATATCTCCACTCCAGGCCCATATCACCTCTCCAGTCCCATATCTCCACACCCAGGCCCATATCTCCTTCCTAGGCCCATATCTCCACTCCAGGCCCAGATATCCACCTCTAGGCCCATAACTCCACTCCTGGCCCATATCTCCACTCCAGGCCCATATCTCTACTGCAGGCCCGTATCTCCACCTCCAGATCCATATCTCCACTCCAGGCCCATATCTCCACTCCAGGCCCATATCTCTACTGCAGGCCCATATCTCCATCTCCAGGCCCATATCTCCATCTCCAGGCCCATGTCTCCACTACAAGCCCATATCTCTACTGCAGGCCCATATCTCAACCTCCAGGCCCATATCTCCACTCCAGGCCCAGATCTCCACTTCTAGGCCCATCACTCCATCTCTAGGCCCATAACTCCACTTCCAGGCCTATATCTCCAACTCTGGGCCCCGATCTCCATCCCCGCACTCCCTCCCTCGATTCCCTTCCAGGACTCACCAACACACGCCATGCTGACGACCATGAGCGACATGGTGCTGTCTGTGCAGACAGGCGGCCGCGCCCCAGCTCAGCTCAGCAGCGCACAGGATGTTATTTGGCGCCCTGCCCATGCAGTTTACATGTTGACCACATCATGGGAGGGTGACGTACGCAGGCTCTTTCTACCTTGCATGAGGCCCAGTGGGTGCTCGCTCAAGAGCGGAACATGGCTTCCTGGAAATTGTTCTCACTAGAATTGACACCTTGCGTCCTTCACTACGACCAGACTCAAAAGACGTCTCAGATCCAACCTCTCATACACGAGATGATTGAATTCTGTGCTTACATTAAAGATTTTTGATGTATTTTTGTTTTTATCTGAGATTCAAACTCTTCTTCATATGTAATGTGCAAAATGTCTAACAGGTATTATTAACATTATCAGAGTAATTGTGACAAGAAGCCATTCTAATTTTCCTGCTTGAGTTTCTAGTACTAAACCAGAGGCATCAGAATAGCTTGAACCTGGGAGGCGGAGGTTGCAGTGAGCTGAGCTCAAGCCACTGAACTCCAGCTTGGGTGACAGAGGAAGAGTCTGTCTCAAGAAAAAAAAAAAGCAAACTAAATAACCTATAATAACAAATCAGAGGACTCAGGTTACCAAATTTTAAGGGGTTCTATAAGTTTATATAAAATGCAGCATCCTCATGAGAGGGGATACAGAGAACCACTGGACAGAAAACTGTGTCTAAAATACATCTGTGGATACACAGTCCCTTTATAGTTGACAAAGGCTGCCATGTAGTTTAAGGTGGAATAGAATATTTTCTCAACAAATAACACAGGACCATAGGGTTACACGTAGGAAAAAATAAATCTAAACTTATCCTCACACTATAAAAACACTTCTTATTTTTTATCTTGTTGTTGTAAATTTTTTATGCTTTATTTTTAAGATTGACAAATAAAAATTATATACCATGGTCCTTCACTATACCTGGGTGATTGGTTCCAGGATCCCCATTCAGATACCAAAATCTGCAGATGCTCAAGCCCCTTGCATGAAATGGCATAGTGAAGCTGGGCACCGTGGCTCACGCCCGTAATCCCAGCACTTTGGGAGGCTGAGCTGGGTAGATCACAAGGTCAGGAGTTCAAGACCAGCTGGTCCAACATTCTGAAACCCCGTCTCTACTAAAAATACACACACAAAAAAATTTATCTGTGCAGGGTGGCACGTGCCTGTAATCCTAGGGGAGGCTACTGAGGAGGCTGAGGGAAGAGAATCGCTTGAACCTGGAAGGCGGAGGTTGCAGTGAGTTGAGATCACGCCACTGCACTCCAGCCTGGGTGAGAGAGTGAGACTGTCTCAAAAAAAAAAATAGCATAGCAATTGCATAGAACCCATGCACATCCTCCTGTATACATGAAATCATCTCTTGATTACTTATAATTCCTGACACAGCCTACACGCCACTCAATTTGTGTCGATTCAACATAGTTTTTTGCTTTTTGAAACTTCGGGGATTTTTTTTCTCAAAATATTTTTGATTTATTGCTGATTCAATAAACATGTGTAAACCCCAGAGATATGGAGGAGTGACTGTCTATTTATAGTAGTATGAAAGATGATGTGTTGATACGTGTCCCTGTGGAGATGAGACTAACAAGGCCTATGACTCTACAAATGTTTCATCGTGGAATGACTCTGCCAGCTTTCCAGATCTGCAGAGAGTAAGAATATCACTTGTTCATCTGATTCACCATCCTTGGAACCTCCTATGTGCTGCATCTTTGGATGGAAACTGGAGTCTCAGAGACAATTCAGGCTCCACCCTGCTTCCAGAAGCTCAGAGTCCAGGGGTGAGAACCCAGCGGAGAACAGATGGGGTTATGTGGACGTGGTAATGATAACACCGGAAGCCTTAGGCAAGAAAAGAGTCCCATTGACGAAACCATGAGGGCAGACATGTTTACTTGAAGAATAGAAAACTACATTGAAATTATAAAAAAAATTTATAAGTTTTACTGCTGACAGAAGGCTGAAAGATACTCTGAGGAAAGGTGGAACAACATGAGGAAAGGTGGAATAGCATGTATCTAAGTGCCGTGTTAAGAGGGAGCCTCTTATATGTTTGGAATTGTGAGTTCCTCAGTGTGATCGCAGCCTCAAGTAGACTAGGAAGTAAGCCAGTTAGGTTGGAGAGGTGGGCAGGGGTCAAGTGAAATGGAGAATTGTGGGCTAAGCAAAGGAGTGTGTTTTCTCTCCAGCAGGCAGTGGGGACCTTAGACATTTGTAAGCAAGAGAGAGGCATCAATGGTTCAGATTCGTGGTGTGAGGAAGAGCGATGCCCTAAGATGCAGACTCACGCCTTCAGATTCCAGCTGCTGGTACATGGGAGCTGGCAACCCGGTTTTGAGACAGGGCTATTGTCTCCCTAGAAGATCCCATCAAGGCCTGACTGTGGTGCTGGTGGACAGAAGACAACTTTGGATCTGCGCTCAGCATTTGGAAGTTCCGTGTTACACGCTGGTATCTGTTGGGGGTGTCTTGGGCCTCTGAGAAGGGCGAGTGATTTTTCTCTGTGTGAAAACGCAGTGATTCAACTGTGCGTATGTCACCTCCTGAGGGTCTTGTTCATCAGAGTCCTGGAGGGAGGGAAATGCTGAGTGAGGGAGGGTGCTCACATTTTTCAGGACTCTTTGGGAATAAGACTAGCCATGAGGCTGGGCTGAGGAGCACCTACCTCCCTGTTCACTGTTCTGTTCCCTGCAGGCTCTTGGTCCATTACAACAGCATCTGTAGAAGACGGAAGTCGTCAAAACAGCTCGGAGGGCACTTCTGGGTCCTCATTTCATAAGCAGATACCAACATGCAGGGGGAGGCCATAGGTGCCTGAGGTCCCTCAGTTGCCAACAGCAGACTCAGACATTCTATCTCTCTGAGCTCAAGGACCCATCCCATGAATAGCTCTGAGTTCCCATCCCATTGATTCTGTCTCCCACTTTCTGCCTGTCATGGAACCTTCTCCTGGATGTGAGTGGCTGCAGGGGATGTGAGGATATGGTTCAGAATCAGGCAATGGTCTGTGAGCTGAAGGCAGGGGCAGGGAGTCTGGTGCTCTCTCTAGAAAGTCCTGCCTCTGTGGCTCCTGCCTTGGGTCAGGGACCATCCTGCCTGTAAGGAACACACACCTGAGTGCTCCCATCCTGCTTCCCCACATGGCCCTGAGCTCTCTGGCTTCTGCTTCGTGAGACTTACTCTTTTTGTTGGCACACCAGCGATGAAGGAGAAAGAAGAGGAGGATAGCAAAGGGGATGATGACCACTGAGGTCCCAATCAGAGCGTGCAGGTATCTGGAGTTACCTGGAGGAAGACAAGACACCAATAAGAAGCTAATCATAGCAGTTCCTCTATATGAATTGTCTCACATTTCTTGATTGACAGGTAACCACATACAACGTCTCTTTAGGACAAGCACCCAGATGGCGGGAGACCTAGCTTCCTCCTGCTTTCTCAGTTGTAGTAACCATAGAACGTGCTGAGGATACAACTGCTTTAGTTTAGATGTTTGACCACTTCAAACCTCACATTGAAATGTAACCCCCAGGGTGGGAGGTTGGGCCTCTTGGGAGGTGTTTGGGTCATGGAGGTGGATCCATCATGAACAGATCAATGCTGTCCCAAGGAGATGGGGTTAGCAAGTTCCCCCTCTATTAGTTCCTGGAGAGCTGGTTGTTAAAAAGAACTTGGAAGCTCCATCGCTCCCCCTCCCCCTTGCTCCCTCTCTTGCCGTGTGATCTCTGTGGTCTCTGCACAGATAGACCCTCCTTCCCTTCTGCCAGAGCGGGAGCAGCCTGAGGCCGTCACAAGAAATAGATGCTGGTGCCATGCTTCCAGTACAGCCTGCAGAACTGTGAGGCAAACACATTTCTTTTCTTTAGAAGTTACCCAGGCTCAAGTGTTCCTTTAGAGCAACAAAAATGGACTAAGACAGCAAAGTCCTGAGATCAGGAGGAACATCCCAGAACAGCCTGGGCTGTCTTCCTGTTCTTCCTGGAGGAGGACGTCATGCAGTGCTTTAGCTGAGTGCTTCCTGTGGCTCCAGGGTACAAAACCCAGGCTGGGCTGCTTTTTGATTTCCCCCAGATACACTGCATATGGGGTGACTCCACATGTCTCGAGCAGCTTTTCTGAGCCTTGAGGGACTGGCTCACATTGAAATGTAGGCTTCTGTTGTCACTCGCTGCTTATCTGTTAGTAATGAACCTGCCTGTGTAATGTGTTCTCTGTGTGTTCTGTCTCCCTGGAGTGACGGTGAGTGATAGGAATTGGTATAGGCCCAGGTACATTCCAGGAGGTGTTTAGAGTCTTCTCTGGGAAGACTGGATTGGGATTGATACACAGCGAATGTGCTTTACAGTTTCTACCACCACAACCCTCTTGACTCAAAAAAATTACATTCTCCAAGAAAAGAAAGAAAAAATGAAATCAAGATAAAAAAAGTGAAGTAGAACTGACTTAAATCAAACAGCCATGAAATAATGATGTAGCCCAGGAACAACATGCTACTTTTTGTGATCTGCTGAGACATATATTAGGCTGCTATTCCACCCGAGAAGCACGGGGAAGGACCGCCCTCTCCGTCGTTTATTGTTTCAATACAGCCTGTCCTTCTGTGAGTTAGTACGAAATGTGACCAGGGGCTAGTGCTGGCACTGGTCTCTGAGTCCAAGATCTGAGCTCACTCCAAAGAGTATTAGTGTTTACCTCCCCATGATCTATCTGTATCTCCATAGGTGATTGGAAGTAGAGATGAATTGGGGGATTTGGGTGAAGGGGCAAGTTTTATGCCATGAACAGAGCACGTTCTCTATTCCAGGACCTGTGCTGGTGGGTTCAGGAGGCTTTCACATTTTCCATATGATCCCAAGCTCACAGAAAGCCAAATAAGGAAGAGGTTTAACCTGATTGTTTAATGGATAAGATAAAGGGTCAAAGAATTAAACACAGAGAAATAGAAAAATGATGGTTGGTATCCAGTTGCCTTTGTAATTTCTGTGTGTCATAATTATGTATGTTTTATTTTTATTTTTTGAGACAGAGTCCCCCTGTGTCAGGCTGGAGTGCAGTGATGCGATCTCAGTTCAACCTCTGCCTCCAGGGTTGAAGCCATTCTTCTGCTTCAGCCTCCCCAGTCGCTGGGATTACAGGCAGGTGCCAATGCACCAGGCTAATTTTTGTATTTTTAGTACAGACGGGGTTTCACCATGTTGGCCAGGCTGGTCTCAAACTCCTACCCTTAAGTGATCTACCCGCCTTGGCCTCCCAAAGTGTTGGGTTACAGGTGTGAGCCCCCATCCACAGTCTTGTATATTATATTATACTAGGTCCCTTCATTTGCACCACCCCTCATGTGTCTATCGCTCCTCTGCCAGGTATTGATTTAGATGTAGAAAAAAAACACATCTCAGAAAGAAATTAATGAAACAAGGATTAAACTACTAGGAAAAATCAAACCCAGCAAGCCCTCCCTGCAAATGATTCTACCTCACAAGCATAGCTTATATCCATCTTTCATTCATTTAGTGTGTAAATCAACCCTACGTTTCACCAGTGGGGCGGGAATTGCCTTTTCCACGGTCTCCTAGATTCCAGTTACGCACCTGGGCCTCCCTTATTTTCATGTCGGTCACTGTTAATCAGGTAGGGATTCCTAGTTAGCTCTGAGTTGAATCCAAGGGCTGTGAGTATCAAAAACATGCTCCTTGTTCCTCCTTAGTTTCCTGTGTACCCAGTGTGCTCTCCATCTCTCTACAGTTGTCTTGTCATTCTCCCCATCTCATTCCCAGCATTTGAGGCAGAGCCTCTTCCTTGAACTAAGAATGTTTCCACCTTTGTGCCTTCACGGCTGAGAGCTCAGTGTGGAAAATCCTTCCGCCAATCTTCCAAGGGTTGAATCCATTTTTTCCATTAAGGTCACAAATATTATCTGATCAGTGAGACCTTCTCTGTCACCTGAAATTATATACTCAGCATTATCTATTACTTATTTTAAATCCTGGCTGGGCGCAGTAGCTCTCGCCTGTAATCTTTGCACTTAGGGACGCTAAGGCGGTGGGATCACTTGAGATTGGGAGTTTGAGACAGCCTGCACAACATGGTGAAACCTCATTTCTACTAAAAAATATACCAAAAAAATTAGCCGAGTGTGGTGGCGCACAGCTGTAATCCCAGCTACTCGGTAGGCTGAGGCAGGAGAATTGCATGAACCCAGGAGGCAGAGGTTGCAATGAGCTGAGATTGTGCTACTGCACTCCAGCCTGTGGAACAGAGAGAGACTCTACTCAAAAAAAAAAAAGAAAACAAAAAACACACACACACACAAAAAACCCCAGATTTGGTGCACAGATGCTTCCCAATGGATCATTCATTTATTGGTACCCTTGTGCATTCATTCTCTGCCCTCGCATTTACCCATCTGCAATATCAGCGTCCCAAGAGCAGAGGCCAAATGCATCCTGTTTACCATTTGTGGAAGGCAGGAGAATGCTGCCCCACCCCCAAAATGTCCCTGTCTTAGCCTCCATAGCTTGTGAATATGTTATTTTACAGGAAAGGAGGAATGAAGATTGCAGATGGCATTACGGTTGCTAATCAGCTGAACTTAAAAAGAGGGTACGCTGGATGATTTTAGGGAGATTGAGATGGATTATCTTGGTGACCCCAATAGAATCCCAAAGTCCTTAAAAGATGAGGAAGAAGGCAGAGCAGGATTCAGAGAAAAAGGTATGGGTAAAGAAGAAGAGTCTGAATGATGCCATGTGAGACGTGACCAGCCTTTGTGGGCTTTGAGGAAGGAGGAAGGAGGAAGGGGACCAGGGGCCCAGGAACGTGGGAGCCTCTAGGAGCTGGGAAACGTTAAGGAGCAGATTCTTGCTTGGAACCTTAAAAAGAAATCCAGCCTTACTGTCCCTTTGATATCAGCCCAGTGAAATGCAGTTCATACTTCTGAGTTACAGCACTGTGAGATAATTAAGAAAAACATGTTTTCATCCACGAAGCTTGTGGAAATTTGTTATGGCAACAATAGGAAAAGATTCCACACTGCACAGCCAGAGCATGGGGCATTGGCTGAACGAGTGAGTGAGTGGAAGTGTCGTGTGCATAAATAAGCTAAATTCTCTCTTACTGCACGTCTCTTGCTCTGCTGAGTCAACCAGGGTTGCATCTGGTACACTGCTGATACGAATGCAAATTAGTACAGCCATTACAGAGGAGAAGAGTATGGAAGTTCCTCAAAAAATAAAATGAGGTCGGGCACAGTGGTTCATGCCTGTAATCCCAGCACATTGGGAGGCCGAGGTGGGTAGGTCACTTGAGGTCAGGAGTTGAAGAGCAGCCTGGCCAATATAGCGAAACTCTGTCTCTACTAAAAATATAAAAATTAGCCGAGTGTGGTGGTGGGAGCCAGTAACCCAGCTACTTGGGAGGCTGAGGCTGGGGAATCTCTTGAATCCTGGAGGTGGAGGTTGCAGTGAGCCCAGATGGCACCACTGCACTCCAGCCTGGGCAACAAGAGTGAAACTGTCTAAAAAAAACAAAAACAAAAACAAAAACCATAAAACAAAATGTAAAAAGACACTTCCAGAGGATCTAGCAATTCCATGACTGGGTGTAAACCCAAAGGAAAGGACATCAGCGTATCGAAGTGACATCTGCACTCCCATGACTGTTCCAGCAGTGTTCACAGTAGCCAAGATGTGGATCAACCTACCTGCCCATCAGTGGGTGAATGGATGGAGAGAATGTGGTACACACACACAATAGGGACAACTCATCCATAGAAAGAGTAACATCCTGTCATTTACAGCCACATGAATGGAACTGGAGGTCATTACAAGTATTTCCATTTCTCACTCATATGCAGGAGCTAAAAGGTGGATCTCACAAAGGTAGAGAGTAGAATGGTGGCTACCAGAGGCCAGGAAGGGAAGGGTGGAGGGTAAAAAAAAAAGAATACTAATTAATTAATTAATTAATTTTGAGAGAGTGTCTCTCTCTGTTGCCCAGGCTGCAGTGCAGTGGCATGATCTCAGCTCACTGCAACCTCCGCCTCCTGCAATTAAGTGCAACTCCTGCCCAACCCTCCCAAGTAGCTGGGACTACAGGCATGTGCCACCATGCTCGGCTAATTATTATCATTATTATTATTATTTTGTATTTTTAGTACAGATGGATTTTCCCCATGTTGGCCAGGGTGGTCTTGAGCCCCTGATCTCAAATGATCCACCTGCCTTGGCCTCTCAAAGTGTTGGGATTACAACAGTGAGCCACCGTGCCCAGCCTATAAATGTATTTATGAACAGTAGACTTCACACTTAAAAATGGTAAAGGTGGTAAATTACATAGGTATATTTCACCTCAATAAATATTTCTTCAAACAAAAAGAAAAGGGTGTAGGCGTTGCTGGTGATGACATCTCTCTGTGGGTGACAGGCCAGGATGGGCTTCTGGGAAGTGGGTAAGGTTGAGGGGCTGAGAGAACCTCTGATCTCCCCAGGCAGAGCCCAGTCTCCCTCCTCTGGGTCTGTTCTGACCTCTTTCTCCATCTGCCTGGGTGCCTGGAACCCTGATCAAGGGCCTCCTTGCAGGCCATACAGGAGGGTTTGGAGGTGCCCTGTCTGCCATCCTGCCCCCTGACCCCGCCCTTACACCCATGCTGTGTGTTCTGTCTCGGCATCTGTCCATGCTTCTCTCCATCATCAGCAGGAAGCTCCTCAGCTATGGCTCTAGGATCACAAGACATGGGACAGGCATGGTGTTTTCTCACCTGTGACAGAAACGGGCAGTGGGTCACTCGGGTCTGACCACGCGTGGGGCAGGGCACGGAAAGAGCCGAAGCATCTGTAGTTCCCTCCGTGGGTCACAGGGCCCAGAGGGAAGTTGGCCTGGAATGTTCCATTGACCCTCAGCACCGCAGTGAGCCTAAGTTCACCGGCCTCTGCCTCCCTGGATAGATGGTAAATGTCAAACAAGCTCCGGGAGCTGCAGGACAAGGTCACATTCTCTCCTGCCTGAACCGTGGGGCCCGGCTGGGCTGAGAGAGAAGGTTTCCCATATAGACCTGGAAGGAGAAGAGGTGGTTTCCTCAGGGAGGTTCTTCGTTGTCACAGCTCTCCTCACACCTGAGCTGAGAACTCACTCCCCTGCTCTATGACTTAATGCTCTCTTTCTCTCTCTCACCCTCCACCCCCATCTCTCTTCATGTCTATTTCCTCCTTCCACCTTCTCTGTCTCTCTAGGTCTCTGACCTCACTTCTCCATCCCTAGCTATGTTTTCTTTTTTTGTACCATTTTATTCTCTCTGACCCTCCTTGGACTGGTTGACTTGATCTTCCTCTTTCTTTAATTCTGAGTCTCTCACTTTCTGTCTTGCTCATAACTTTCTGCATATTTCTATCTACTATCTATTGATCGATCTATCATTTATCTATGTATGTATCTATCATCTATCATCATCTGTGTATCTATGACCTATCTCTCTGTTATCTATCATCTATCAATCAATGTATGTATGTATGCATCTATCCATCTATCATCATGTGTTTATCTTTCTATCTCTCTATATCTATTTATATATCATCTGTCTGTCTTTCTACTTGTCTATCTATATCATCTATCAGTCATTCATCATCTATTTGTCTATCACCTGTCTCTCTATTATCTATCATCTACCTTTTATCTTTCATCTATCTATATCTATCTATCCATCTATCATCTGTCTCTCTCCATCTCCTTGTCTTTCTCTGCCTCTCAGTCTCTCTAGTTCCCTTTTGGAGTCTCTGCAATCCATCCCCACATCTTCATCTTTCCCTGTCTTTGTGCCCCTCCCTCAGGGCTCTGATTTTAGGGCTTTTCTCTGCTTCCTTCCATCATACGCTCCACTTCTCTGCCCTCTTTTTCTATCTCTTTATGTGTCTGTGAGTCTCTCAATTCCCTTCTTCTGGCTCATTCTGTGTGTGTGTTCATGTCTTTGCTTTTTGATTTCCCTGATTTCACTCCGTGTCTCTCTGTGGGCTTTTGTTCTCAGTAATCCTATAACATGTGGTGCTATTTGAATATGAGCCTCAGAATCCAGTATGGGGACTCCAGGAACTCACAACATACAGGGGTTGGTGTTCTGCTCCCTCACCTGGGGCCATGGTGTCCTGCGACGACGACAGCTCCACTGCACGGAAGGCAGAGGTTTAAGAATAAACACAGCATCTGTAGGTGCCACCAGCCTGGGGCCACACGGCCCAACTCAGGCCAGATAGATGTGTCTCTTTGGGTTCTCCTGGGAGAGAACACTTTGTAGAGGTAAAACAGAATGGAACCTTCTAACCTGTGCCTGGTCTCTGAACAAAGTCAGCATAGAAGGACACCTCTCTCTGGGATATATCTGTCTCTCTGTGTCTTCTTTACCTCTTTATCTCTTTTTCTAACACCTTGTATGGCCCCTGTGTCTGGCTTCTATGTTATGACATGAGGTCTGTACTTGTGTCTCCTGTTTCTCTGCCTTTGTTGGTACAGACCTCACCAAGTCACTTTCTCTCCATAGGAACCCCACACTCATCTTCCTCATGACCACCTGGGGCTTCCAGTCCTAGATCATTCACTCCATCTCCCAGCAAGGGTGAGAGGCAGGTCTGTATTCTCTCACCTACGACCACGATGTCCAGAGGGTCACTGGGAGCCGACAACTCATAGGGTAAGTGAGTGACAGAACCAAAGCATCTGTAGGTCCCTGCAAGGGCAGGTGTCATGGGACCCATGGAATAGTTGACCTGGGAACCCGCATCGTGGAGCTGTCCAATGAGGCGCAAGGGGTCCTCAGTGATCCCCTCTCTGTGCAGAAGGAAGCGCTCAAACCTGACATCTGACCAACATTGCAGGATGACCGTCTCTCCCGATTTCACCAGGGGACCTGGGTGGGCCAGGAGGGAAGGTTTTCTGTGGACTCCTAAGAAGAGAGGTTGTGAGTTCAGAAGGCGTCTCCCTTTCTCATCCCATTCATGGGACCTGAAATAAGTGAGGCTTCCCCTCCATGGTGTCTATCTCTCTCCTTCCTCTCTGTGTCTCCGTGTTCTTTTGTGCCCATAACCCCTGTTGCAGGTCCCTCCATCTGTCTCCCTCCCTCTTCCCTGTCTCTCTGTCTCTAGTAGCCCTGATTCCCTTCCCACTGTGCTCAGTGTCACCTCTTATGCTGTTGTATCTGTTTCCCACTAATCTCTTTCCTGGTGTTTATGTGGGGGTGGAAGAGGAACCACGACAGGCTGCATGTCCAGGCTCTTAGCAGCCTGAATCAATCTCTTTTGGACAGATTGGAAAGGCTGGCAGGAGGTACGAACTCATCAGTAAGGCAGGCATCAGTGTCCCTGTTCCTGATGGGGATTGGGAGCCTCTCCTGTCATGTCTGTGCCTTCTCCATGGCCCCAGCTTCCATAGGGTGGCCCCTGGTGCTGGTTCCAGGAGCATCAACCCCTCCCTATGTGGATCGAGCCTGGTGGTAGCATCAGTATCCCACCCATGCTAAAATCAGTGTAGCCAACCTTCTCCTTGTTTGGTTTCTTAACTTGTGCTTCACCTGGGTTCCTGTGTTGGTTTCCTGTTGCTGCTGGAGAAAATTGTCACAAACATGGGGCAGGAGAGAATACAATGACCCCTTCCACTTCTGGAGAACAGAAATCGGACCCAGTTCTCTCTGGGCTAAAATCAAGGCATCTACAGGGCTGTGTTTCCTCTGGAGACTCAGGGAAGAATCAGTTCCCTTGACTTCTCCAGCCCTTAGAGGCCAACTGCCTTTGTGGCTCATGGCCTTCCCCCATCTTCAAAGCCCGCTGTGGCTGATGGAGTCTCCCTCCCACGACGTTGCTCTAACCCCACTTTCCTCTTCCTCCTCCTCTCATGAGGACCCTTGTGATTACTCTGAGCACAGCAGGACAGTCCAGGCTGTCTCCCCATCGCAAGGTCAACCCATCAACAACCTGAGCTCCATCTTCCCCTTCAGTCCCCTGCCCTATGACATAAATAGTCACAGGGTTCATGGATTACCATGTAGCCATCACTGGGGACAATTATTCTTCCCACCACAGCAACTATTTCTCTGTACTGAATCCCCCTTTACCCCAAATACAGTCTGGGCCTGGATGATTGGACCCTGATGGACACCCCCACCAGAAGCTCTGGGATTCAGGAGGTGGGACAGTGAGAAGCCCAGACAGAAAGCCTCTGACCTGTGACCATGATCACCACAGGGTTGCTGGGTGCCGACCACCCAGTGGGGGAGTGTGGGTGTGAACTGCAACATCTGTAGGTCCCTGCATGTGCTGGGGTCACAGGGCCCATGAGAAAGCTGTTCCGGAATATTCTGTTGTAGAGCTCAGGGACAGGCATCCCGTCTTCTTTGGACAGACTGAATTCGTTAAACCCAAGACGAGAGCGACACTGAAGAGTCACATGTTGTCCTTCAGACACCACAGTGCCGGGCCAGGCAGAGAGGAAGGGCTTGTCCTGACCACCTGGGGGAGAAGGAGGCACTACCTTAGAGAGGAGGATGTGGAGCCGCCCCTCCCTCCCTGTGCTCAGAAGATTCTCCCATTTCCACGTTTCTAAGGCTCCTACCACACCTGGGTGCCCAGGGCTACAGGAAGGACCCATCCCGCATAGACATGGCGTCTCCCTACAGCAAGTGTCAGCTGAGAACTTTGAGCAGGTGCTGAAGAAGCGACTCTTACTAGATTTTAACACTGCAAAATTACTTACATAAAAGAACACAAGGTAGACACAGGATGGAGGGCATGATCAGCTAATGCATGAACCATAATAAACAACTGAGCCCCTATTAGAAGATCTGGAATGTCAGGGTCATGACTGTGGTTCCCCCACCTCTTAGGTAGAATGACAGCAGCCACATTGCAGCCCCTACCGTCATGGAAACGCTGGAGGGTGTGAGTTATGCTCTTGTCCTCAGAGGCCTGTTGTTCCTTGCACTGCTTCTCTCCCTTCCTCTGCCGGTGACACCACTTCCTCCCTGCACACCACTCCTTTGAGCACTTCAGTCTCCCCCTGGGTCCCCACAGACTCAGCCAAGGGAAAGAAAGGCCGGGGAGGGCTAGGACAGAACTGTGGCGAAGCTTCCCCTGGCTTCCTTTTCCTAGTTCATGAGAGATTCCCACATGGCTTCCCATGGTCAGCCCATCAGTCAACCCCCTGTGTCGCCTGCCTCCCGTTTCAGGAACATCATCTTATGTGGGGAGATGACAACCTAAGGTTTGGGGGAAGGACTCACCCACATGTGGCCAGGGCCCCTCCAGCAAGAAGAACCCTGGAAAGAAAGATCATGATGGATGATCCATCTGTACATCACCTCCAGGCCCATATCTCCACTCCAGGCCCATATCTCCACTTCCGTCCTATATCTCTACTCCAGGCCCATATCTCCACTCCAGGCCTATATCTCCACCTCTGTCCTATATCTCTACTCCAGGCCCATATCTACACTCCAGGCCCATATCTCCACCTCCAGGCCTGTATCTCCACCTCCAGGCCCGTGTCTCCATTCCAGGCCCATATCTGCACTCCAAGCCAACATCTCCACTCCAGGCCCATATCTCTACTCCAGGCCCATATCTACAGTTCCAGGCCCATATCTCCACCTCCAGGCCCATATCTCCACTCTAGGCCCATATCTCCACCTCCAGGCCCGTATCTCAATTCCAGGTCCATATCTGCACTCCAAGCCAATATCTCCACTCCAGGCCCATATCTACAGTTCCAGGCCCATATCTCTACTCCAGGCCCATATCTCTACTTCAGGCCCATATCTACAGTTCCAGGCCCATATCTCCACTCCAGGCCCATATCTCCACCCCAGGCCCATATCTCCACTCCAGGCCTATATCTCCACTCCAGGCCCATATCTCCACTCCAGGCCCATATCTCCACTCCAGGCCCAGATCTCCACCCCACCGCTCCCTCCCTCGATTCCCTTCCAGGACTCACCAACACACGCCATGCTGACGACCATGAGCGACATGGTGCTGCCGGTGCAGACAGGCGGCTGCGCCCCAGCTCAGTTCAGCAGCACACAGGATGTTGTGAGGGGCTCATGCAGTTTACATGCTGACCACATCATGGGAGGATGACGTATGCAGGCTATTTCTACCTTGCATGAGGCCCAGTGGCTGTTTGGTCAAGAGCAGAACATGGCTTCCTGGAAATTGTTCCAACTAGAATTGACACCTTGCATCCTTCACTATAACCAACTCAAAACACGTCTCAGATCCAATCTCTCATACAGGAGATGACTGAATGCTTGGCTTACATTAAAGACTTTTGATGTATTTTTGTTGTTTTTATCTGAGATTCAAACTCTTCTTCATGTGCTATTTTCCCCAGGCTGTTCTTTGACTTCAGAGTTCAAGCAATCCTCCTGCCCCAGCATTTCTAGCAGCTGGCAGTATGTCACAATCTGCCACACCCAAGTCACAACTTTTAGAACTTTTTTTTTTTTTGAGATGCAATCTCACTTCGTCACCCAGTTTGGAATGCAGTGGTGAGACCTCGGCTCATTGCAGCCTCCACCTCCCAGGTTCACGCAATTCTCGTGCCTCAGCCTCCTAAGTAGCTGGATTTACAGGCACCCACCACCACGCCCACCTAATTTTTGTACTTTTAGTAGAGAGGAGGTTTCTCCATGTTGGCCAGGCTGGTCTTGAACTCCTAACCTCAAGTGATCTGTCTACTTCAGCCTCCCAAAGTGCTGAGATTACAGGTGTGAGCCACCATGCCTGGCCGGGACATTCTATATGTGTGCGTATGTGTGCATTTATATACATATGGTTATACACACACACACACACACACACACACACCCTAAGCACTCACATATATAGTTGTTTCAAATTTTAAAAAATATAAATTTTGTATTTTTCTTTCTTTTTCTCACATTTGTGTTTCTATGACACCATATACATATTGAATTTTATAGCTCTATTTTATTCTTTTGGATTGCAGTTTAATAGTCCATGCATAACTTTATCAACATGTAATTATCCATTCTTTTTATCATGGACATTTGTGTTGTTTCCGGATTTTCTCTTTTATAACTCGGGCCTTGATAATCGTGTTTCTGTGTGATCCCTTGCATACATATGCTGAATTAATTAGACATATTTACCTAGAAATGAAATTATTGGTTTTGGGTGCAAGTTGGTGTTGAGCTTAACCAGGAAGTGCCAAAATATTTCCATCATGACCAAATGTGGCCTGGAAAGTTTTTTGGGGTCAATTTTCCTGTTTCTTCTAAGGAACAAAATTGATGTCACTGATTTTTCTGTCCTGTTTGTCATTTATGAATGTATGTACATATGCACGTATATATTTGCTTGCCATTTTATGTTTTTCCTCGACGTTACTTTGGAATTAATTTGCTGATGTGTAGTATTTCTGCAAGTGAAAGTTACCTATTTACTCAGCTCTTCCTTCTTTTCTAACACAGACATTTGAGGCTTATTGTCCCTTAACGCTGTTCTATCTGTATCCCCAGTCATTTGCCGAGATGTGTTTTCATTTTTAATTGATACAAAATATTTTCCACCTTTCTTTGAAATGTTTTTCTTCCACTCATTGTTTATTGCTATGTGTGTTTATTAATTTTAAAATATTTGATAATTTCCCCAGCATTTCCTTGTTGTACATTTATAATTTAATTCAACTGTTTCATCTATCATATTACCTATGATTCAGCATTTAAAAATTTATTTTGGTGAATGTTCCAGGGGTGCTAGACAAGTTTGTGGATTAGGAAGATTTGAGGTGGATGTTTTCTAAATGTCAGTTAAGAAAAAAATCATTCAAATGTTTTTCTTTATTTAAAAAAAATAGAGACGGGGTCTCACTATGGTGCCCAGGCTGGTCTCAAACTCCTGGCCTCAAGTGATCCTCCCATTTTGGCCTCCCAAAGTGCTAGGATTATTGAAATTATTAAATGTTTCATATCAACACCCAACCTTATGCACCCGCCGCCTACACAAATGTTTTTCAAGTCTTTCATATGCTTAATAATTTTCTGTGTACTTGTTCTGGAAGTGAGGTGAATGTTGCTATCTCTAGCTGCAATTTGGATGTGATTGATTATGTTTTGAATTATGCCTTTAATTTAATGTGTTTTGAGGTTCCAGCTTTAAGTGTGTAGGCATTTAGGATGATTATGTCTTATTTATGAATTTGCCTCTTTGTCATTATGAAGTACTCCTCTTCATATCTCCATATATCTCTTCTTTGTATGTGCATGGTGAAATATTTCATTCTTTGAGTTAAGAAACTTCTATTGAGGAATACTTTTTATTACAAACATTTACCTATTCTATGTATACAACTGACTAGAAGCATATTTTGCACTGGGCATTATCATGACAAGGTAATGTCATTCTTTCAATATTTACATCTTGTGGATTAGTATTTGAAGTGCAGCTTATGTAGACAGCATAAGGTTGGGTGTTGATATGAAACATTTAATAATTGCACACGTATTTGCCTCTTGGGATACTTCCACTTTTTTGAATTTCAAGTTACTAAATGGTATCATTAATCTTTGCTTCAAGAGCTTAACATTTATTGTAGAACAATGCTTCATGTAATAAATTGTGAGACATTTTTAATGGCACCTTTATTGCAGGAAAATGTTTTCCTTTTCAGGTTGAAAGATTCTAGTTTGAAATATTTTCTTGTAGCACTTTAAAAATGTTGGTCCACCTGTTTCTTACTTTCATAGTTTTGAATACAAAGTTTGCTGTCATTCTTGTATTTCTTCTTCTGTTTTTTATTTATTTATTTTTGACAGAATATCTTGCCGTCTCACCCAGGCTGGAGTGCAGTGGCATGATCTTGGCTCACTGCAACCTCTGCCTTCCAGGTTTCAGCAATTCCTGCCTCAGCCTCCTGAGTAGCTGGGACTACAGGCATGCGCCACCATACCCAGCCAATTTTTTTTTTTGTATTTTTTTTTTGTAGAGATGAAGTTTTGCCATATTGGCCAGAACTCCTGACCTCAAATGATCCACCTGCTTTGGCCTCCCAAAGTGCTGGGATTACAGGTGTGAGCCACTGTGCTCAGGCTATTTATTCCTTTTTATATAATATGAATTCACATTCATACATACCAGGGGTTAGGATTTCAACAAACGTTTCTGGGGGAGACCACTCAAAACACAGCACTCATCCTTGGTTATTTCCAGCCATGGAGCCTGTATCAATATCCTGGTGAATTATCTAAGCTGTCCACCTACCTACCCCAAATCCTCATGGTCACATAAAAGGCTAGTATAGTATAATAATTTTTCTTTCCCTGCTTATCTACAGTGATGAAGAAACGAATATTCAAAGGGAAAAATCTTAGCTTTAGGTATAGGGTAATTCTTCTTCCTATTTTTAAATAACTTCAACCTTTACTGTAGATTAAAGGTATGCATGCAGGTTTGTTACATAGGCATATTGTGTGACTCTGAGGTTTGTGGTTCCAACAATGCCATCACCCAGGCAATGAGCATAGAATCCAACAGGTGTTTCTTCAGCCTATACCTCCCTACTCCTCCCCCCATCTGTAGTCCTCGGTATCTGTTGTTTCCATCTTTATGTTCATGTGTATTCAATGTTTGGTTCTCAGTTATAAGTGATAACATGTGGTATTTGGTTTTCTGTTCCTGGGTTAGTTCACTTAGGAGATTGACCTCCTGCTACATTCATGTTGCTGCAAAGGACATGATTTCATTATTTTTTATGGCCATGTAATGTTCCATGTGTATATGTAGCACATTTTCTTTAACTAATCCACTGTTGGTGAGCACTTAGGTTGACTGCAAATCTTTGCTATTCTGAATTGCACAGCAATGAATATACTAGTGCATGTGTCTTTTTGACATAGTTAATTACCTTCCTTTTGGTATATACCCAGTAGTGGGG